>NC_000004.12:154072896-154375926 GCF_000001405.40 Homo sapiens
TGACTGTGTTACCTTACATGGTAAAGGGAACTCTGTAGATGTGATTAAGTTAAGGATTTTGAGTTGGAAAGACCCTGGATTGTCTGGGTGGTTCCAATGTAATCACAGGGCTACTTGTAAGAGTGGGGTGAGAAAGGAGGGTCAGAGGAAGGATATAAGGCAATGGAGTGACCAAAGTAGGGATATAGAGAGATTGGAAGATGCTACCCTTCTGCATTTGAAGATGAGACCATGAGCCAACAAACACAAACAGCCTCTAGAAGCTCTAGAAGAGGCAAGGAAGTAGATTCTCCCTTGAGCCTCCAGAAGGAATGCAGCCATGCTGTATTAGTCTGTTCTCATGCTGCTAATAAAGACACACCCAACTGGGTAATTTATAAAGAAAAGAGGTTTAATTGACTCACAGTTCCACGTGGCTGGGGGGGGCCTCATAATCATGGTAGAAGGCGAATGAGAAGGCAAAGTCACATCTTACATGGTGGCAGGCAAGAGATAGTGTGCAGGGGAACTGCTGTTTATAAAACCATCAGATCTCATGAGACTTATTCACTGTCATGAGAACAGCATGGGAAAAACCTGCCCCCATGATTCAATTACCTCCCACGGAGTTCCTTCCAGGACACATGGGGATTGTGTGAGCTACAGTTCAAGATGAGATTTGGGTGGAGACACAGCCAAACCATATCACCTGCTGAAACATTTTAGACTTCTGACCTTAAGAACTACAAGAGAATAGATTTGCATTGTTTAAAGCCACCAACTTTGTAGTAATTTCTTATAGCAGCAATAGAAAACGGCATGGGAGGGATTTCCCCAAAATGACTCTTAGGCTTGATGACTCACTACAAGGAGTCACAGGTCTAAGAAAAGCTGTTATACTCATGGTTATAGTTTATTACAGCAGAAGAATCCTGATTGAAATCAGTCAAGGAAAAAGGCACATGGGATATTCACTGTAAGTTAGATGTGCTAGCCTAAAATATTTGATCAAACTAATACAGTGTGGCTCAAGGCCTCAGGCATACAAAAACCCTCTATTAGGGAGCACATTCAAAGGGTTCAGATATTGTCTCCTAAGAGTTGCTTATTTTTTTTGCATATCTTCTCTTTAGACATTTGTCAAAATGCTCATGGTTATAATAATACCTACCTCTTATGGCTGAGGGTCTTGAAGGAGATGCATTGTTTAGAAACACTTTTAAAATATAAAGTATAATTGTTATCTTCATAATTCCTGATTACCAATTCAGAGTGACAAATTAAATGAACAAAGAATTGGGAATTAGAAGGCTCTCTATACCATTATACACCTGGAAGTCTTTGGGTGCTTTGCTTAACCTCAGCCTGTAAAATAAGGCAATTGTTCTAGGTGAGTGGTTCTCAACTGACATATTTTGACACCAAGGGGTGGTAGAATCACTGTTAGCTAGCTAGAAATTGTGCAATATCCATATCTTGTAGACACATGTGAATGTGTGAAGGACTGTGTCCCACATGTGAATGTCATCAGAAGAAAGGGGGAAATTGACCACATGAATAATTGGTAAGGTCTAGCTTGCTCTAAGAAGTTTATTCCATTATGTTTGATGTATTCTACCTAACAAGATGTTGAAGTGTACAGTACATCACAGAATAATTTTGGCCAAAAACACTTCAACGTAAAACATTCAAGATTATACTAAATGGCACATTAATTTGCGGAAATAGAGATTATGTTGAATTCTACTTATACTGGGTTTCTGTATTTTTGTTTTATATTTTGTTTTTGGCAATATCAATTTTTGCTCATATTTAGTTTTTCATCAATTCTGCCCTGCAGGCCTTTTTCTGATTAACAAGTGCCTTGACTGACTCTACTTAATTTGTCTGTTGGTTTATTTGTTTTTGCTGTGGATTATTTGATCTTCTACTGTCTTTAGTATCTTGTAAGAAAAATTTTTATAATTTATCATCATCAACTTTCTATTGTATTACTGCTTCCTATATTAACTGCAAATATTTCAGGCAAAGCCAAGGGAAAAATTAACATATTCAATCTGGATATAGTTGTGGAAGTGTTCAACATTTCCGCAATTATAGAAGTGTAGTAATATTTCAGATGCTCAAAAAATCCATTCTATTTGATTTGTTTTTTGGCTTTTGTTTTTTGGTGAGTGTAGGTATATCTGATGTTCAGGAAATTCATGCATCTTCAAATTCAAAGACTGAATATAGAATATGAATGCCTGAAAAGAAAATAGGACACATGCCGAGTGTGTTATTCCAGACCTTCCTAGCTAAATATCTATTATGTTTTCACTATAGACATAAAATATATAGCAACATTTTTTTCAGACTGAAGAGCTACCCATTGTTTCTGTCCCCACCCCCCATAATCCCTTTGTTTTCTGCTTGCTGAGTCCTTTTGCTTTCTCATTTAATGTATGTGTTTGCATTAGGAGAATTGATTGAATGTTTTGAATCCATACAGATGAGGGGCTGATTACAGAGTACCTTAACATAAAATAAAATTTAAGATGAGAATTCACTCCTATTTTTATTTTTAAAACTTAGGCTGCAACATGGTTAGGCACTGAGCACAAGTGCCAAGAACTCAGAGGTAAACTAGTAATAAGTTTTCAACTTTAAGAAACTCACAGCTCAGTGGAGAAGTCAGATGCAAATAAATACAACAAATACTGTGAGTTGGAGTTAAGGGGCCCATCTCCTGTGGTCACATGCAATATAATTAACTTCTGATATGTTTCCTTCTTTAGGTCACATGTTCATTGAAAGCAGGAATTGTGTTTCTATTAAGCTACGCACAACATTCAGCAAAATTCCTGGCATTCAGAGATTCCTCAATAACTGATTTCTGATTAAATGTACAGAACATGATGGAGAAAAAGAGGAGAGGATGGCCCCTGTGCCTGAGAAGTTGAGGGAAGACATTCTAGAGGAGGTAGCACTTGAGCCCTACTGGGTGGAAAAGAATGGGCATTTCAAGTGGAGGAATAGCAAGGATACACGAACAGAGGTATTAACAAAAAGAACACATAGCATCAGGCTATGGACTGGATGGTTCATGCCAGAGAGTGTCATGAGATGAGGCTGGAACAAACACAAGTCACCAGGGGCTTATTTGGAGATTAGATTGAAGCATCAGGGAGACTCTTGCCTGAAAATGTTGTGACTTAGTTTAAACAGTAAATATTTATCAAGTCAAGAACATTTTATATAAGACAGTTTATTTCTCAAGAGTGTTTCTTTTGATTTACATATTTCTGTAGGCCATTGATGTCATCTAGTGCAGCAGCTTGTGATCTTAGTTAACATTAAAGTTAAGTAATCAAACAAGCACACAAATTTAAAATTGCAACGATGATAGCCTATATAATTCAGGGATTTGAAAGAAATCATATTTAATGTGAGATCTGAGGGCTGCACAGTGTGTAGGGAGGAACCAGACTATGAAAGGCATTGAGAAGCAAGTTAGGGTCTATGATGTTTATTGTAAGAACCACAGGGCACCATTGAATGTGTTAATGAGAGATGATTTCATTAGAATTGCATTTTGTCAGAGATCACTCTAATTGTGGTGAGGAGAACAGGTGAGAAGGGGAATAAACTGGACATGAGGAGACCTTTTGTGCTGCAGTGAAGGTGAAATACGGCAACTGATTACGTTGTGGTGTTGTTCCTAGAGAAGGATGGATATGAGAGCTACTTACGAGATATTTAAGAGGCAAAATCAACAGGGCTTGTTGATGAATTGCATGTGGCAGAGTGGGACTCCAGTAGATTTCTGGTGTGTGCAGCTAGATTTGTGTTATGCATTCATGGAAATAAGAAACATTGAAAGAAGACCAGGGCTTTTGTGAGGTGGCGAGTAGAGGGAAATCTTAGTTCAGTGTTGTACATACTGAGTTTGCAGGGCCTTAAAGACATCTAAGTGGTGACATCAAGTAGGCAGTGGATATAAAAAATGCAAAAATTAGCCAGGCGTGGTGGCACACAGCTCTAATCCCAGCTACTCAGAAGGCTGAGGCAGGAGAATTGCTTGGACCCTGGTGGTGGAGGTTGCAGTGAGCCAAGATCACGCCATTGCACTCCAGCCTGGGCAACAGAGAGAGACTCCATCTCAAAAAAACAAACAAACCCAAAAAAAACCCCACCACCACCACCACCGTCACCACCACCACCACCAACAACAAAAAACAACTCAGAGAAGAGGTCAGGATAGAGTCATAAATCTGTGAGTCATTGGCACATAAGTTTTAACTATGGGTCTGATGACATCAGTTTGGAAGAAAGTATTGAATGACGGGACATGGTAACAAAATCCTTAAAATTCCTCAAAGAAGTCAACAAAAACTTGATGTTTACATGGATGCAAAACCTCGAAGAAGGTTGAATTTTAGATAAAGTTTCATCTGATGAATTGATAATTAGAGGAAATGGTTTTAAACAAAATAATTTTAGGGTACAAACTATGGAAGGGCAATATTAGATATTGTTAGTTATGAGGCTCTTGCACTTGCAGAAACAAAGAGATGGTAGGAATCTGACCAAGGAGGTAGCAAAGAAAATGGAGATGAGGGAATGGAGTGAAAGCCTATTTAGAAGGTAGAATGAACAAGACTAGTAAAATGGGATCTGGGACAGAAGAGAGAAAGAGGACCATTGGATGGCTCTGAGAATCCCAGCAGGAGTAACTGAAAAGAGGGTGATAACATAAACACAGAAAGGGCACAGGGAGGAAGAGGAATCTTGTGGCAACAGCAGTGTTTGAGATGTCAGTTTAAGGTACCCATGAGAGGACCTAGTAAGACATCCACCTGATCCCTGGAAATACAGTTGTGCCACCCAGGGCAGGGTCTAGGGTGGAAATGTCAATTGCAAGTTACAGGCATGGGCAGGAGGAAGAAGAGTAAATGGGTGATAGGGAAAGGAAGTGGCCAGTATAACTAGAGAAGGGCAGGAGGGAAATGGGGTGGAAGGCAGTGTGGCCAGGAAAAGCCTGAAAACTCAGATTAGCCCCAAGTCACTCCCAGGGTGGCTAATTCAGAGCTTGGGTGACTGTACCAGCAAGTAGTGGAGCACCCAGCTTGTAGGGAAGAGACACGGAATGAAGTGGGGTCAAGGCCCCACTTCCTTTCCTCCTGTCAGAAGTCTTCATGAAGGGGACAGCCTGTACACTGCCTTTCAGCATTTCTTTGAAAATGAAGGCCTCAGGTAAAACTACTCTAAATTTCTTACAGAAAATTTCTCCCCAGAAATAGCTCCTCCCTGAGACTGCCCTATTTATGAAAGATATTGGATTTCTGGAGGCAATTATGAGAACTGTGGCCTCTTTGGGTCTTGAGCCACCAGAATTCAGCTATGGTGTGTGGACAGCTGAGTGCTGGCCATTAGGCTTGGGCTTTCAAACCACTGTACTATGGAGCTTGTGCACCACTTAGGTGCTCCTACCTGCCCATCGCATTTCCCTGGACCTTCAGGCTACAGGAGAGGGATCAACAGAAGGGGAACATTGGAGAGTTAAATGAACTGGGGGAAGCCAGAAGGGGAAGAAAATAAACCTCCCAGAACCTGCAATATCCTTTAATCTACAAATCTCACACTTAAACCACCTCTTCTATAAATATGATCAGCCAGCTCCAGGTCTAGGTCCATTCTGCCCACATGCAGTAAATCAATCACAGTCACATGGGTTTTGCAAAAAAGAAAAGATTTCTTCACAAGGCCACAGAGTTCTTGCGGAATTGAGACGTGGGAGAACAGCTCTCAATTCCACTTCCCTAAAGATAAGGCTTAGGGGATATCTGTGGGTTAGGGAACTGTGGTGGTTTAAGGCATGGAGAAAGGTGATTGGCAGGGGGGAAAAATGAAGTGACAGGTTTATTCTGTGCAAGCTTAGTCAGGGTTCGTGGCATTTCATAGGACATGTACAGAAAATGGCGGCATTACCACGATCTAAGGGTGGAGGTTTTGGCCCTCTGACGTCAAAAGGCCACCTCTTAGGCACTTGCATAGGCCCATGTGAAGGGTTGGTGGTTTCAATGGTTTGAACTGGATAGGAGCTGGCCCAAGTCCCTGAAAAACAACTGAAATGACTGTCAGAATGGCGACTTATGAATGTCATCTATAAAGTGGCCAGTGAAGATTAAGTTTCAGCCTTTAGGAGCATAGCCTTCAGCTACCACAACCTTCAGCTTCATAGAAAAAGCACAGCAAAGCAAAACAAAAAGCAAGCAACCCAAAGCAAGCAGAACAGGCAGACCTGATCAAATTAATCCCTTGGGTTCATTAAGAAACCGAAACCAAGACATCATTAACCCTATTGTTACATAATAGATAAAATGACTTCTGGTTATTACATTTCTAATAACTGAAAGCAAGCATATTGACCACACTTTTTTCCTTCTATCTCTTCCTGTAAATAAGATATTTAGTTAAAGACTTACTAAAATATGCACTATTGTTTAGATAGACCCCAGACAACGTTCTTTGCATCTGGACATTTAATTAGCGATATGTTTAAAGTGTCAGCGTTACCTGTCTGCTACTAGAAAAGAGCCTAGAATTTGAATTCTACAGGGGCACCTGTGACCTTGACCAGCTCCTTTATTATGTTGAATCTTTGCATCTTCAAAGGAGAAGCAGGGACTTGGTCTCTGGGGTCTGTGTTCAAAAGGTAGTAATGTCAGTGGAGTCCTTAGAGCATTCCAGAGTCAAATGATCAGATGTGGCAAACCTCTGGGTCATGCAGTGCCTATGCAGTGAGGGCCCAGGAAGATGGGTCACAGGGCCTGCTGTCCAGTGATGAACGGAAGACAAATCTCCCACCTTCTCATTGCAATAGCAGGACAAAAAAATCTTGGATTCATTTTCAGCCTCTGTGTAAAAACTAAAAGCATGTGGACTTTAAACGTGTTTAAAATATTAAGAGTCTATTAAAGCCCAAACTGCAGAAGCTTATAAAGTAATATATAAGCAGTTATTTGAAATATTCTGTACAAGTCTGACTGATCACCTGCCAATGCCATCACTGATTTCATCCAGCCCCACACTGTGCTCTGGGCAACAGCCCCGTTCTGATGAGTTGAGTTGGGCAAACAGGCTTGGAGAATGGTTCCTTCAGAATCAGCCAAACAGTTTCTGTTAAATGTACTTCCCATGAAATTACTCAAAGACATTTTGATGAAATTCTGCATTGATAAAAACTCAATGTAATTAAATATAGCAATGTAATTAAATGTAATTAAAATTCACAACATAGCATGTTTAGGAAACAGTGTAATTTTGATTTGTGTGCTTTTTATTGTTCCCTTGCTGGTCACATCCAAATGCAGTTGACATGAACCATTTTACAGATGAGTTTCTTGGAAGACAGAAGTCATGTTCGACATGAATTCGATAAGCATCTAGGGTCCCTTAAAACCTGACTTGTCTTATCTTTTTTGATTTATTGCTGTTAATTTGCCTCCCACTTTAAAGTTACTGTTTCTGCTCTCGTCTTTCCTTGCCCTTTGTTCTTTAATTTCTTTCTTTCTTTCTTTTTTGAAACAAGATCTTACTCTGTCACCCAGGCTGGAGTGCAGTGGTGCAGTCTCAGCGCACTGCAGCCTCTGCCTCCAGGCTCAATCGATCATCCCACCTCAGCCTCCAGAGTAGCTGGGACCACAGGGGTGTGCCACCATGCCCAGTTAATTTTTGCATTTTTCTGTAGAGACAGGGTTTCACTGTGTTGCGCAGGCTGATCTCGAGCTCCTGGGCTCAAGTGATCCTTCCACCTCCACTTCCCAAAGCGCTGGGATTACAGGAATAAGCCATTCCTGTATTAGGCTCAGCCACAGTCCTACAGCCCAGATGCTTATAGTTGTATTTAAAGCATCAGGTTTCCAATTGTATTAGTTTTCTATAGCCACCATAACAAAGTACCACCAACCTGGTGACTTAAACCTCAGAAATGTAGTGTCTCCCAGTTCTGCAGGCGAGAAATCCAAGATCAAGGGGTTGGCAGGGTTGGTTCCTTCTGACGGCTATGAAGTGGGAGCCTGTCTCAGATCTCACCTCTAGCTTTTGAAGGTTTGTTGGCAATCTTTGGTGTTCCTTGGCTTATAGAAGCATATCACACCCATCTCTTCCTTCTCCCTCATGTGGTGTTATCCCTGTGTGTGTCTGTGTCCAAATTTCTCTTTCTTATCAGGACACTAGTCATATTGAATTAGGGTCTGCCCAATTCTGGGATGACTCGTCTTAACTAATTACATCTGTACCAACCCTATTTACCAGCAAGGTCACATTGTGAGGGTTAAAATTTCAACATATGAATTTTTGGGGAGGGTATGTGATACATAATTCAACCCATAACACAAATAAATATTTCTTTAAGGATCAGAAGAGTAAAGAAATTGAAGGGATTCTAATATACAAGTTCTCTTAAAATAACACTTAAAATATTAAGCATAAAGTTTTTTAAATTAAAAAATTGTTTTATTTGTAATTGACTAATAATTATATATATTTATGGGGTACAAAATAATGTTTCAATACATGTATACATTGTAGAATGAGCAAATCAGGCTCATTAGCATGTCTATTACCTGAAATATTTATCATTTCTTTGTCACGAGAACATTTAAAAGCCTCTCTTTTAGCTATTTTGAAATGACTGTACATTATTATTTACTTTAGTCATTGGACTATGGAATGGAATCTGAAGTTTCAGTTAGGAGGAAAAATCCCTTTCCTTTCCCAGTTCTATTTCTCTTCTCCTTCATCTGTTTGTGGCAGATTGGATGGGGTCTCTCTCTTACCCCCAACCAGCAGGAGAGATGTTTGGGGGTTAGAAATTAACAATCTGGGGCTGGTGCTATATCCCTGAGACTTCAGACAAACCCACGTTCAGTTGATATGGTGGTTTCAAATATAAGTAGGATCAGAGAGAACAAAGATGCTGGGATTATGATTTCTCAATAATATACTGAATAGTATACTCCTCCACATGAGGCTATTCTGGGTTTTTCTTGGGAGGGAAATTAACACTGTGGTGAAGTGTGAGAAAACTGGACACAACCCTTACTAGTGGAAAGACAGAGCTGGAATTGACAGTGTTCATTTCCTCCCACTCTCCACCCTCTTCGTGATATCAGGGCTCACCCTTGGCACCTTCCCACTTAGAAAAAACATTGTCCATCATCACTTGGCCAAAGCCTGAGACACTGGCTTCTAAGATACAAGAAAGGGCCAAAGGCCAGGTTGTATATCCATGGTATCAGGTACATAGAGATGGAGTTTTCTGGTGGAGAGAAGTGCAGACACTTGAGGATAAAGGCTTGAAGTAGGTCTATGGGAAGAGGATGGAGGGGAGTGAATGGTGAGGCAGAATGAGGTGAGGGGCAAGATGGCATTTGTGTGGAGTACATGAGGCCACAGCTCCTGCTAGGCAGCCTGGCTTTCTCTAGGTTCCAGTCTCCTCTTTTTTCCCTTTGGGCTTAGGGATGGTAATAGCTTCCCTTTGTTACTAATTGCTGGGTACTTCATCATCCCCTACAGTTCCCCTAACATTATCCACATCTTCATAAAGATTAAACACTCCATTCATCTGACTGCTGCCTCGAGTTCCTGCCTGTGTTCAGGTTGCATCTCCCCAAGGAGATTTTACATTTCTGGAAGGCAGAGATCAAGTCTTGCTCACCTTTGAATCTGCATAGCATTGCATGAAAAGCCTTGTGGAAAACTCTCCATGAATAGTGAAGACAGAAAAGGAAAAAGGGGAAGAGTGGGTGAGGAAAGAAGAGCAAGGAAAGCAGAAAGGAAGGAAAGGAAACCATACAGGAAGGTGGAAGGATGGCAGAAAGGTGGTATAACACAAAAATGGGAACCCAACTCATTTCTCCAGAATTATGCTCTCTGACTATCAAGGTAAAGCCAAAACAGCCAGGAAGAACAGGGGCCCAACCTGCCATCTTATTAGGCGCTGCATAGACAGATCTTTCTTGTTTACTGCCCTGCCCAGCTCCTCATTCTGCAAAATGCTTTTACTGCCCCCAGTGGCTGTCATACAGTACTGAGGAGTAGCTTGGGCTTCTCTCTCTGAGTTAGAGGCCTGGGGACCTCTCCTGGGAGCCCACTCAGCACTGCATTGCATGATGTCAATCTTAGCAAGCTGGGCTATTCTGGAATAGCAGCCGCAGGCCCTCTGACTGCAGTCATTGTGTTCCTGCTATGTGCAGACTCTTGTAAGTCTTAAGGGTAGAAAGACATACAGGAGACTCCTTCACCCTCAAAAGGTATAGTGGCACCATCCAGGGTCCATGAGACAAGTAGAGGGATATTTACAGAGCATCACGTCAACCCAAATGGGTGAATTAGGAAGGTCAAGTGAAGCAGTATCAGGCAAGTGAAGTGCAGAGTGCAGATGGGAGTAGTCACGAGGGATGACTCAGAAGGACTGGCGAGATTTTTTAGTTATATTTGTGGTCAGAAGACTGAACCAGGTAGCTTGGAAAATATATTAGAAAGCAATCAATCAGTGTCAAGCACTGTCCTCAGGAATGTGGGCTTCTGGGTCCTCTGAGGATGCTTTATTGCTGATGGAATAAAAACTCTTATATAAGGATATGTTCAAGGTTCAGTGTGGATGTTTTGTGTTTTATTTTTTTTAGTCTGGCAAAGTCCACCAATAATGGTACACAGTAGAATTAAAGGGGAATTGGAAATTCTCTTCCTAGAACCCAGATTATACATATTGATGGGTATGCTGATTTGCATCTATTCCTATTTATTCATTTACCATCTCTGCTGGTAAGCTGATGGTGTGCCCAGCATGTCAGAGGATTCATTGATCCTGCCTCAAGTAAAACAGACTAATGCATATTTATTTTGCCATTTTCATTATTAAGTGAAATGCCAGAAAACATTTCAATATAACCTCTAGAGAAAACAAACCACTTTCCTGAAACCAGCTCTGTCTCTTCATCAAACGGAATGAAATATTTGGAAATGCTTCATTTCTTCCAGGCCAAAGGCACATCCATTCTCCTCATGCTGTTTCAAAGCTCTGATGAATGGAGTTCCTGTCCTGGCTCTCCTTCAGGAAGTCGTTGATCTCCAGAACCCAATAAATAATGGGAAAAAGAATGAATGGCATATATATGCATTGAGAAAGGACTTAAACTTTCACAATTTTTCTTTTTTGGTGTAGTCTCACAGGTACTCTTTTATTGATGAAAGCAACAAAAGATGGCTCCATTTGTTTCTGTGTTAATTATAAAACTGACAAGCTAGCTCAACAGCACATGAGAAGTATGTTTAACAAATCATATTAAAGAAAAAACAGAGCCAGAAACTGGGCCAGTTTGACCATTAGTTTAGGAAATAACACAGGACTGTTCCTAGGAAGAACCAAGAGGCCTAGACATAGCCTGTTAACTAGAGATGAAGGAGCTTCCATTGTCTCAACCACTTATTCATTCAAAAGCTGTATCCTAAGGACTGCCTCTAGATTCTGGGAATAAAAGAGTGAATAACATTAAAAATACCTAGTGCTAGAGACACAATAAATCAGACAAACTAACAGGGTAGGGACTTACCTGTAGGTCTTGCTGCCTGCCAATCTCACAATATTCTGCATACAATAAGAGCACAATGACTGTAGTTAGGGGGCCAGCGGCTGCTGCTCCAGGGCCCCAGCTTGCTGGGGTTGGGGCTTGTGTAGCACTGAGTGGGCTCTTCCAAGTGGAGGTTTCCAGGGCCTCTATCGAAGAGAGAGAAGCCCAAGCGACTCCTCTAGCATTGTGCGGAAGCCATGGGGGACAGTAAAGTCATTTACAGACTCAGAAGCCAAATAAACAATGGTAAAATATAAGGTATGCTAGATGGGGCGGAGAAGAAAAATAAAGTATGGAAGGGGACTAGGAAATGTTAAGGGGATGCACAATTTGAGACACTTTTATTAGAACAAAAGAAATCTCTGCCATCTGTCAACAAAGAAGACTCGGAAATATCATGAAAGCATGAAGACTTATTAAGCACCTAGTCAACAGTGAGACCCAAACTACACCTATGTAGTTGACATTCTATGCATTCAGCAGGAGCAGGATGAAGGTTACTGAGTCAGAAGTCCTGGCCCAGGCTGTCAGTTCTGGCCAGGTGAACTTGGGTGAATCATCTAACCTCTCTGAGCCACTGATTCATCATCTGCATAAGGGAGAAAGCATCTTCATAGTCCACTGCACAGGGTTATAGAGAAAACCTAATAAATATTGAATTTGGAAATTTTTTGCTGAAATCAGAGCACTGAGAGTGTGCTTGGGAAACACATATTGCCAGGGATTTCTTCCAAGAACTTCTGGTTCAGTAGATCAGAGAGAGAGACAGAGTCTAATCCAGCAGTTCTCAATGTTGGATGAACATTAGGATCACCTGAGAAGTTCCCAAAAAATACAGATGCCAAAGGCCCACACCAGACTAACTAAATCAGGATTTCTGGGGCACAGGCATAGGTACTTTTTAAAAAAGCTCTCCAGGCTATTCAAATGTGTAGACAGTTTGATAATCAACAGTCTAGTGAAGTCCATGTTACTGTGAATGATTAAAATTACAAAAAATTACAAGCTGCTAAAAGGTCTCAACCACCTTTATCTGAAATATTAGAAGAGTGGAACACCCACACTTCATGTATATTAAGTGCCAGGTAGTTCCAGGGTGGAAAGTGGCTTTCCAAGTAGCAGATAGACGCTTAAACATCTCCAAGTATGCAAGAATCTCCTATTTTGTGGGCATTTTCCTCCTCCTAGAGGCTTGGGCTCCCTCTCCCCATTATTTAATCACCCCATGATGAGGAACCCATCCTTTAGACATCCTAAGTCCCGATTGCCTCAGCATGATGGTGCAGCACCATAGTAAATGGGCACGCCATGTGAGCATCTAGATGTAAAGATTGAGTCAAGTAGTAGCACAAGGATGCAACTTTAATAGCACGTTTCCTTACTTTTCATTATCTTTTATTGGAAATAGAAATAAACAAAGTGAAATGTATCAGTGCTGAAAACAATCGTGTATTAAAGTATCTATGAAGCATCAAGTGCAACTTTCTGAAGGAAGATAGGCATAGCCTACTGTCTACAATACTGACCAAAAAGGCTTATTTGCCAGCAGGAATATTTCTTAAAAAAAAAAAAAAAAAAGACAAAGGAAAGATGATAAAACTGGGTCAGATGATTGTGTAAAGTTTTCTACTTAGATGCAAACATCAAATGATAAAATTTCCTCTTTCCCTGTGTAAACCTTTCAGTGTCTTGAAATTATCCCGGATCATTTTCTCTTTATTTCATTTATTTTATAATTTTGCCAGATACTTTTGTATGGGAAAATGGGACGCTTTGGCAGGAAGGAAAAAGGAGTACTGATATCAGGTTCCTGTACTGGGGAGCAGTTTCTGTGAGTTGTGGAGCTGAGGTGGGAGCTGGGAGGAGCTAGAAGCCTGTGTTGTCTTAAGCTCTGTTAAAGGCTATACTAGGTAGTCACGAAGCCGTTTCCCAAAGGTTTTTTTTCTGATTCACCACAATGTAAATAAAACCCCCAAAGCTCAAACAGTTATCTACTGAGATCAGGTTATCCCTGGATTCCTTTACACATCCCAATGTAACATCTTTCAACACTTGAATCCATTTTTTAACTGTCTTGTTTTCCTATAGTAACTATTGCATTAAATTACCATGCAGGAGAAAGATTTTAATCTTGGCTTCTCAGTTTTGTGAAAGCTTGTTTTATAACCCCGGATCAGCCCTGTTTCTACATTTTAAAAAGTGAGATAAGAAACATCTCATCCTTTGCAAAGAAGGGCAAGTCTTCCATTTGGTTGTTTGAGGGTGGTTAAAAAGGTCCCTCACAGCACATTTCAATAAAATATGTATAAATGGAAATAGCTGATTTCTATTTTTCAGAAAAACAACAACAACAACAACAACAAAACCCGGCTGGGCGTGCTGGCTCACACCTGTAATCCCAGCACTTTGGGAGGCCGAGGCGGGCGGATAACCTGAGGTCAGGAGTTCGAAACCAGCCTGGCCAACATGGCGAAACCCCGCTTCTACTAAAAATACAAATATTAGCTGGGTGCAGCGGTGGGTGCCTGTAATCCCAGTGGCTCGGGAGGCTGAGGCAGGAGAATCACTTGAACTCAGGTGGCAGAGGTTGAAGTGAGCCGAGATTGCACCATTGCACTCCATCCTGAACGACAGAGCAAGACTGCGTCTAAAAAAAAAATAAATTAAAAAACAAACAAACAAACAAACAAAAAACCCATTGTATTTAGAAAGAGAATATTTTGTTAAAATTTTGAGGCTAAATTTTATTGTTTAGAATATCTTTTTAAAGTGTCCTATGGAGCTTATACTGTAAACTATGCCACTTGCATTCAGTCATCTTTCCATGTAGTAATTTTGGTCTTATGCTACTGTTACTTAAAAGCTATTCAAATTATTATGTTGTGACTCTATATTTCTCCATTTTTGACTGTTGTCCTGTTATTCTTACTCATTTAGAAGCTCCAAAGAAGATTGTTCCCAGCATATAAGCACACATGAACATATTGTGTTACATTTCTCTTTGCTTATTTTCTTCCCACCTTCTACCCATTCAAAAAAATCAGTCAAGAATGACTCAGAGATACCTGAATGGAGTTTGCAGTTCTGCATTAAAATTGAAGCCAAAATTAAGAACACTCTCTGAAGGACTGATTTCAGAAGAAATAATTTGATTCTTATTTCTTAGATGAAAATTGGTTCTCCCTACTAAGCTACATTGGACAAATCCAAATTACAAAAATTTGCCTTAGTTATATGACTATTTCTGAATACATCGTTATAACGATTGCTATGTTTTGCTATTTTAAACGATCCATAATAACTCCATTTTGTCATTTTCCTGTGTACATACAATCAGACTTAGGGCCTTTGCATGCTTTCAGTTTGTACTCTTTGATGGTATTAGAATACCCTTTCTCTATATCTAGCACTCAGTAGGCATTTGATACATCTTTACTGACTAAATAGTTATCTCTTTAGCTACTTTCAAGCCTATTTCTATCTTTTCTATCCCTTCTTCTTACTATTTCCATGAGGTAGGCAGAACTGACTACCTCCATTTTCAAGGATGAAGAATCCATGGCCCAGGGAGGGAGAAGACCATCCCCAGTCCTTCTAATAACTTATGCAATATCTTTCCTCTTTTCACCGGCCTCCTTTGCATTCATGATTCTCAACTGGGAGCAATTTTTTCCCTTCCTCCCTCTTAGGGGACATTGTCTGGAGACATTTTTTGTTGTCACAAGAGGGGTCCTACTTGCATCAAGTAGGTAGTGGTCAGAGATGCTGCTAAACATCCTACAATATATAGGACAGTCCCACAAAAAGAATTGTCTGGCCCAAATATCACTAGTATTGCTTTTGAGAAACACTGTTTTGCATGTGCCTGCAATGCCTTTGATGGTCCTCAAAGCCGATGACACCTGAGGACCTCAGCTCCTGTGGCAGGTTGGTGGACTGGCTGGTTGTGAATGCAAGAGCCCAGTGGTAGGTAGCTGAGAGTCCACCTTTTTTCTGGAGGTTGAAGTCACTTGACATATTAATGGATGGAGATTATTCAATTTTAAATATTTTTATCTTTAATTGCAAAAGGAACACATGCTCCATGCATACAACTTATGTCAATGACCATCTTTGGCCAAATACCACAAGAAACACACCTATTCTAAAAGTTAGATTTGTGGATTTTGCTGTAGCAAGGGAGGCTGCTGAAAACCATAGCAGTAAGAGGCTGTTACAGGGGCTCGTTAGGATTAGCTTGTGTTGGGTATTTTGGGTAGGGTTCGAGGATGTGTGGATTGGGAGGAAGTGGAAGAAGGGGAATTCTATAATTATATTACAAGTTTTTATCTTAGGAGGTAGGAGAACAGAGTAGGTTAACAAACACTATAGTCAGCAAGGAAGTTGAAGTCACTCATATTTGGCTCTTTGTGGTTTGCACAGCGTTTTTATTTTTGTCTGTGCTCAGACATGTTTACAGAGTGGTCCTGTGTTTGTTTTACTTCATCATGGTTACAGATAAAGGTCACATGCTGTTGGTGCAGTGTGAAATTATGTTCATCAGGAGAACAGTATGATGCAGCTATTAGAGCCAGTCCAGCTTCCAGCTGATAGCTCTCAGGGGCTTCTTTTTCTTTCTCATTTGGAACACATGAAAAGGCACAAAGAAAAACAACAAACAAACAAATAAGCAGAAAATACCTTATAATCGCACCATTCTGAAAGAAGAAAATTCAGATGTTTGTTGTAGGTCTTTTTAGTATTTTCCCAGTCATGTAACTATCATCAAAATGATAGTATAATTTATCAAACAAGGTTTAGTAGTCTGCTTTATCACTTAGCAAGATATCAAAAACATTTTTCTCATGTCAGCAAATGTTTTACTACAACATGATTTTTTATTGGTTGCAAAACATTTCATGAGATTAATAGCCTATAACTTAATCAATTCCATATTGTTAAACATGTACATTATTCAAATTTTTTACTATTATAAAAGTATTGAGATATATATCCTTGTACAACATGTGTTATTTTCCTCAGAATAAATTTCTAAAAGTATAATCAGTAGGTCAAAGAATAACCACATTTTTAAAGAACTTTTATGTTGAAATAATTATATTTTAGGATGATAGCCTTTGTCTGCTGGTCAGAAGAAAATCATAAGAAATTGGGTTAAGTGATTATTATGGAGATCTTCTTTACCAAGTTTTGTTTTAGAATCCTGAGGCTAGTAAAGGACAAATAATAATAAGTACAAATTTATATAACTGGAGAAAATCTCGTAAGCTTGATGAGGGATTTGGGGAGAAAGCTTATTTTCATCATGTGTAATGTGTCAGAAAGTTTTAGCCTCTTACGCAAAAATCAACTACAAATCAGAAAAGGAAACCTGTTGATATCTTCCTCCCCCTACCCATGGAGCATCAAGTTAACTGCTTTTCTCTCTGACAATTAGAAGAGAGGGTATCTCTGACTCAAAGCAGAGGAGAGTGGTGACTTGATTCCTTAAAAGTGAAGGTACATGTTGGATGAGGTGAGTTCAGATGAAGATAGGGAAACTTTGAGCAGGAGAGTGAAGCTTTGATTCTTCTTTTCCAATTCCTACAAGTTTTATTTCCTTTTCTGGGCTAGTTATATTAGATAGCATCCTCAGGTATAAAACTGCATAACAATGGAGATTAAGGAGCACGTGGTTCCTGATTTAATGAAACTGGATTAACAGTTTTATAACTAATGTACTGTTTGATCCAACTTTTTGATAGAAACTCTTTTCCAGGTTAAAGAGGTTTTCTTTTATGCCTAGCTTACCAAGAATTTTAATCATAAGTGAGTAAATGTTGCAATTTATCAAAAAAATTGTGCATCAGTTAGACAAACATTTTTCTTTTAATCTGTTAATGTTGTGTAAAAGATCAGTAGATTTTCTGATATTCAACCATTCTTCTATCCTTGTACTAAACCCAACTTGATCAATATGAAAATGACTAAATTCAGCTGACTAATATTTTTGTATCTCTATTCGTAAGTAAATTTGGACTATAATTATATTGTCCTTTTTTATTTTGGGGTCAACTAGCTTTCTAGAAGTATTCAGCAACTTTCTTTCATTGTCAATTATCTAAAACAGTTTTTATAAAATAGAGATTATCTGTTCCTTGTAAATTTGTTATAACTTGCTTCTAAAACCATGTCCTCTTACATTCTTACCCCATTCTCAACCCCCACCAATAGAATAATTGATAGTCAACATTTTAAATGGTTACTCATTTGAGAAAATTTTAATAATTAATATTTTATGGACTATTATACCATTTCATCTACATTTTTGAAAATTAATTAGAATATATATTGTATTTTAATATTTTCTTTTAAATATTTCCACTGTTTCTGCAGTTACATCTTCTCTCATTTTTCCTGATAATGTTTATTTGTGTATATTCATGTTATTTTTCTTATTTGTCTTGCTAGAGATTTGTGTATTTCATTAGATTTTTCTAAAGACCAGTTTTGGAGGTCTTAATTCTTTATATTTTTTTCTTATTTATTAATTCTGTGTTCTATAGGTTTATTTGTATTTTCTTTTCCTATGTTTTTGGGTTTAATGTATCTATTTTCCATTTTTCTTATTGAAAAAAATTATACAAGTGCCACTTGAATTGCTTCCTGTAAGTTTTTGCATGTGCTAACTTCACTAACATCTCATTCTAAATAATTTCCACTGTGATTCCTCTTTATTTCATCAGTAATTTAAGATTTGAACTTTATATTCCCTAGGATATGAAATTTTAAAATTATGTTTTATTTTATTTGTTACTTAATCAATTTATGGTTAGAGAATGTGACTTGTATGGTTCTGAATCTCTGTAATTTGTTAAGATATCTTTTATGAGCTAGAATGTGGTCAGTTCTGAAAATGCATTTATTAGCTCAAGCTTGTTAGTTTTGTGGTTCAGATTTTTAAGTCCATGCTATTTTTTTCTCACTTGATCTATTACTATCTTATAGAAATGTGACAATATATCTACTACAATTGTGGATTTGTAAATTTCTGCCATGATTTTGTCTATTTGTATGTGTGTTTGTGTGTGTGTGTGTGTGACACTATGTGTATTCAAGTGTATGTTGTTGGCATATTTAAGTTCATTATTGTTATAACGTCTTATTTTATTACTTTTATTATTATATTGTTTCCTTCTGTTTTTCAATAAAGCTTTCTCCCTTAACATCTATTTTGTCTGATGTAAATATTGTTACATCAGTATTCCTTTCTGTGTGGTTTTTTTCAGGTGTTTTTCTTTTAAAGAACATATAACTTGATATTACATACATATATATGGTTATATAGACATCTATCTGTATCAATCAATCAGTCTATAGGTCTCTCTCTTTCTTGTCTCTCTCACCACACACACACACACACACACACAAAGTGTATTCACATGAACCAATTTAAAGATCTAGGTTCTTCAATAGCTAAGCATAATCAATTATATTTATTGTGATTAAGGATATATTTATCTCTATTTTCATCATCTTAATTTGTATTTTTGATTTATGATCATTTACCTTTGTTTCTATTTTTCTCCTTCTCTTTGGTCTTTTGAGTCAATAATATTTTCTGCAATTATTTTCCTACCTCTGCTGGTAAGGCAGCTAAAGATTATACCTTTAAATAATTTTACCTTTAAACTTCTTGTTTTTTCTGAATCAATTTAGAAAGTTTAGTTTCCTAAGGATAAGGACATGCTTGTGACACAGCCTCAGAAGGTCCTAATGACATATGCCCAAGGTGGTCAGGGTATAGCATGGTTCTATACATTTTAGGGAGACATGAGACATCAAACAGTATGTGTAACATGTGCATTGGTTTTATATCTATATCTATATACTCAAGTATAAACTTTTCAACAAAATTAAAATTGTTGGGTATTTCCAGTCTCCTCCTGAGCAAGGGTCTTAGCACTCTTTAACTATATATTGAACTACACACCTGTTTTATAACTGTTAAATGTTTCAATATTTTTGTAACAGGAAATGTTTATTATTTATTTTTATAGCTAATACTTGATTAAATTTATTGGCATTTTTAATGATTTTTCTGCTCATCATTGCTTCCTATATTCTTCCCTACTTTCTGGGTTTACTTTTTAAAATATTTTTTTCAATAATTATTTTCTGTGGAAGGTAAACTATTTTTATTCTTATATGAGATATGTAGTCTTACCATTCTTATATATTCTGAAAGTTTATTTTGCCCCCTTTTGAAATGATGGTTTAGCTGAATACAACCATAATACAACCCCTGTTTTCAGGGAGCATTTAGGAATTTTTTTTGTCCCCTGGCATATATTGTTTCTCTCAAGAAACGTGGATCGTTCTGGTTGTTCCTTTGTAGCTAACATGTCTTTTTACAACAAGATGATATCTTTCCTTGATGTTTTACAGTTTTTCTATAATGGGTTTCTGTGGGATAATTTTATTTATTCTTATTGGTATTTACAGTGGATTTTTAATCTGAGGTGTCATGATTTCACTTTTGAAAAACTCTCAATAAATATTTCTTCATATTCCTTCCATTTTCTTTTTCTCAAACTCTCATTAAATAAATGTTGGTGTTTCTCAAACAATCCTGATTCTTAACTCTCTTATGTTCCTGACTTCAGTGTCTTTGTGTTGTGGGTGAATTTCTTAGTGCCATCTTTTAGTACTCGAATTCACTCTTCAACCACTTCTTATCTAGCATACATGTAGTATGTTGCATTTTTATTTTATGTATTTTACTTTTCATTCTTAAGACTTCTGATTTTTATTTTCTATTTATTATACTTAATTTCTTATTGTTTTGTCATTTTTGTTTTTAATTTATATATTGCATCTTATTATTTCTTATTTCTTATCTTTTCGAATTTCTAAATATATTTCTTTTTTTTAATTATACTTTAAGTTTTAGGGTACATGTGCACAACGTGCAGGTTAGTTACATATGTATACATGTGCCATGTTGGTGTGCTGCACCCATTAACTCGTCATTTAACATTAGGTGTATCTCCTAATGCTATCCCTCCACCGTCCCCCAACCCCACAACAGTCCCTGGTGTGTGATATTCCCTTTCCTGTGTCCATGTGTTCTCATTGTTCAATTCCCACCTATGAGTGAGAACATGTGGTGTTTGGTTTTTTGTCCCTGCGATAGTTTGCTGAGAATGATGGTTTCCAGCTTCATCCATGTCCCTACAAAGAACATGAACTCATCCTTTTTTATGGCTGCATAGTATTCCATGGTGTATATGTGCCACATTTTCTTAATCCAGTCTATCATTGTTGGACATTTGGGTTGGTTCCAAGTCTTTGCTATTGTGAATAGTGCCGCAATAAACATACATGTGCATGTGTCTTTATAGCAGCATGTTTTATAATCCTTTGGGTATAGACCCAGTAAAGGGATTGTTGGGTCAAATGGTATTTCTAGTTCTAGATCCCTGAGGAATCGCCACACTGACTTCCACAATGGTTGAACTAGTTTACACTCCCACCAACAGTGTAAAAATGTTCCTATTTCTCCACATCCTCTCCAGCACCTGTTGTTTCCTGACTTTTTAATGATTGCCATTCTAACTGGTGTGAGATGGTATCTCATTGTGGTTTTGATTTGCATTTCTCTGATGGCCAGTGATGGTGAGCATTTTTTCATGTGTTTTTTGGCTGCATAAATGTCTTCTTTTGAGAAGTGTCTGTTCATGTCCTTCGCCCACTTTTCTATTAATACTTTATCAGACTACCCTATAAAATTAGCTTTACCTTGGGTCAATTCATATCCTAGTTGTTAGTTTCTCTATTTTAGTTTTGGCTCACAGCAGACACTTTTAGTTGCAATCATTTCATAGGGGCCAGTTTTTGTTCACTCCCCCAACTTTCATTCCTACCTTCTAACACTAGATTTCAGCATGCCCAAGGCTTCATCTCTACTCAGCAATTTACATTTATGATCTATTTATGGTCAATAGGAATGTCTTATTTTCTGAGCCTAGCTATGTCTTCATGATTTTTTCTTTATGTATTTCATCTGTAGTTGCTATGCTTTTAGTATAGAGAGTGCTTGTATGTGTGTACATGCTTTTAGGCATGAATTTCCTGTGTCTTTCTGACCAAAATTATCCTTACAGTCCCTCCCAATCCCTCTCTTCCAATAGGTGATTTTTCCAAATTATTACTCTTCAAACAGTCAGTAAATGCTCATAATCACTAAGCACACTATTCTTCTCTTGTGTTTAGGACCTAATGGTACATGTCAAGTATGTACAAGAATAAAAGACAAGGTTTCTGACCTCAAATAATTTACATCTAGTCACAGAGACAAGTGAGAAGGACAGTACACAGGGTAGTAAGGATTAATTACAATAGCATAGATTTCCAAGAACATAATAGGCACTTGATATGGTTTGGCTCTGTGTCTCCACCCAAATCTTATCTCAAATTATAATCCCCACATGTTGAGGGAGATATCTGTAATCCCCACGTGTGAGGGAGGGAGGTGATTGGATCATGGGGGCGGTTTCCCCCATTCTGTTCTCATGATAGTGAGTTTTCATGAGATCTGATAGTTCTATATGTGTTTGACAGTTCCTCCTTTGCACACTCTCTCTCCTGCTGCTTTGTGAAGAAGGTGCCTGCTTCCCCTTCCACCATGATTGTAAGTTCCCTAAGGCCTCCCAGCCATGCCTCTTTCCTTTATAAGTTACCCAATCTCAGGGATTTCCTTATAGCAGTGTGAAAATGAACTAATACAGCACCCAATACTTATTTCTTATGTTTCTATGTCTTTGTCCATGAATCATAGGAGTCAGGTGAAATTATATATATATATATACACACACACACACACAGACACATACATATACATGTACATATACATATGTACGTGTGTGTATATACACATATACATATGTACGTGTGTGTATATACACATATACATATGTACATATGCGTACATATATATGTACATATGTGTGTGTATATACACACACATACATATATGTGTGTGTGTATATATATACACATATATAGACTTTTGTGCCAGATAGACAAAGTTGAGATGCTCAGTTTTACTTATGAGTTTAAAGATCATAGACAAATAATTTTAACTCTCAAAGTCTCAATATTCTCATTTCTAAAATTGGGATAATAGTGTCTGTTACTATGTTAGAATCTGTAGATACCAATTTGAAACAAAAAGATCTTGCCTCTTCTCTCATGAAACTTTCAATCACTGGGGAAGACAGGTGTTTAATAAATGGGTAAAAGTGCTCTGAGTATTATCATGGAGAGATTTAGGGTGCTATAGGAGCTGATCAAGAGTGAGGAGTCTGAGAAGACTGGGGTTGTGAAGGAAATAACATTTTACCTGAGACCTAGAGCATGCATTATTCAGGGAAAGAAAGTTGGCAGGTAGAAGCAGCAAGTGTGAATCCTTGAGGGCAGGAAGAAGTATGGTATGTTTGAAAAACTGAAAGAAGCCCAGTGTATATAGAGGGTAAACATGCAGAGAAGTAGGTGAGAGGAGGCCCCTAGGCCCTGAGGCCCTGCTCTTTTGTTTGTTTGTTAGGGGTGTGTGTCTTTGTGTGTGTGTTTTAATCCTAAGCAAAATGGAAAGCCATAGAAGATTTTTAGCCAAGTGAATGTTATGCTCACACTTGTGGGTTCAATCATGGTGGATGAAGTAAAAAGGAGTCCTTGGGAGGCAATTGCAGTAGCCTTGGGAGAGATGGCCGTGGCTGAGACAAGAGCCGGTGTGTAGAATGGAGAGGATAGAAAATACTGAGAGAGATTGAGAGGGCCAAATCAGCTGGACTTGGTGTTGATTGGATGGGAGTCCAGGGATACAATGTGAGTGAAATATCTCTTCCATGCATCCATTTCTATCTGGAATTTCTGCTCTTTTTCCTCCATTCCCTCACATAATAAATTTAATGGATTGAACTCATTGAAAAGATTATTAAAAGTTGTCTCACAGAGAATGCTTTCCTTGTGGATGACAAAAGACATACATTTAATATGCTTTTATTTGTTCAGTTGGTTTCCTTAATATTCTGGGCTTAAAAGAAGCGATAATTCCTTTAAGTAATGGCCGTTCAGTGTCAAGCACTCCATGTTTACTACATAGTAGCTTAGAGTCACCCGCCATCTACCTCGCCCAAAGGTTCCAAGTAGGTAAAGTGTGTGATGTCTTTGGTGCAGTGACTGCATGTCCCTCTGCTTCTTCTCTAGAATGTGCTAAAGGCCTTTGTTTTCCCCTTCTCCAGCCACCATTTCCTGGATTGGAGAAGAGGTGGAGTTAAAGGATGAGATCAAATTGTAATTCTATAGGTAGGAGGGACCATTCAGGTTGATGTCTTTCTCCCCTGGTCAAATTTCACCCAGCAGTAGTCATCTAAAAGTGTTGTCCTATGCAGCCCATGTTCCCAGGAAAATGGTAAAGAATGGAGCCTGATCCTTTATAGATATGATGATATCCTGGCAGGCACTTTAGAAGCATTCCTGGAGTTTTTCTATAACTGCACCAGTTCTAATCTTTGAAGAACATCGAGGCCAATATAAAATTTCTGCCTTTTCTAGGACAAGAGATTTGGGGGACTGAATTAGATTTTCTTTTTCAAATACCAGAGTAAATATATAGCTATGTTTATATGGAAACTCTGGAGTTTTGTAATCTAGTTCCTAGTGAGAACCCCAGGTGGAACTTGTCAACGTTCTACTGGCAATTGGACCTTCTTTTTGGGATGTGCTTTCAGTTGGCACTCAGAACCCCATCCAATATATCAAGTTCAAAACGTCTAACGCTATGCTCTCATCAAAAACTAAGATGAAGGAAATTGCATACAGAGAAGTTATCTGAAGCAGAAATTCTCAAGTGGAAGCAGGCAGGTCTATCCCTTGAAGAATGTGGTCTTTCAGAATATCTGGTAGCACCTTTCCATCACTCTTGTCCCATCCATTTGAAAATCACTGTGTATTATAGGGAGCGTTATTGGTGGAACTGCAAATGCTGTGGGAAGAGAGAAAAAAAATGTGTGATCTCTAAAACGAAGGGGTAAGCTGTTTTACCCCTTCACGGACTAACACACAGATGTATGTTTTTCCATTTCAGAGCATGTAAGGAAGTCTATTCAGATATCATTCATTAAATGCAAAGATCCTTACTTTCCTGTGGATCAATTTACATCTCTAAGTTCTAACCTTGACTCAAATTAGACACTTAGAATGCAGAATACTTTGTTCACTCTAAGTTATGCTTTAATAGTATTATTTCAGCTTTTAGCAAAAGAATAAAAAGTTGCTACATGAAACAAGCAGATGACGTTCACTTTTTAATTTGCTCTGCAAAAAATACATGACAATTATTCTTTATATAACTTAATACTTTCGGAACAAAGCTCCATGTGAGAAATTTCTTCTAGAGTTTAAGAGGTTTATTTTCTTCCTTAAACAACTGATTTGACTCCTTTTTCCAATAATGAGAGTAATGCAACCAATTATGTTTCCATTTTTGCCTTGACTGCAAGGAAACTATATAGGCAAATTTTTAGCTTCAGCATTTGAAGTAATATATTTACACCCTCCTGTTTTATTTGTTTATTAATTGATATTTCTATTTTACTAATCTTTTTGTTAATTGGCTTCTTTTTAAACTAACTCAAAATTTCTTTTTAAGGAGAAAAATTAGAGCTAAATTTAATATGCTAGTAGACATTATGTGGCTAGCTTCAAAGTCCAAGGTTTGCAGCAGCCCTGTAGAAAGGAAGCCATTTGGGACTTTCTCACCTGCCATTCTAGCTGAAATCCTCAACCTGGAATTACACCTTATTCACAATCCCATAAAAGCTACTATTTAAGCACTGCCCTCTGTTGAATTTCACTCTTGAACAGATCTAGTGTCAAGAGGCTTAAAAGTACTCCAGGAAGCTTCACACGCAGCCTCCAACTCTAACACAAATCACTCAAGGTGGACTTGCCCAACAAACATGTACATGTGATGTTTTAAAAATCTTGTTCCAATGTTCAGCCACCTTGAAAGTTTAGGGTTTGTTTTGCCTGAATTTTTTTTCATTCTTCTCTTTTTTAAATTGACATATAATAATTGCACATATTTCTGGAGTACATATGATATTTCAATACATATAATATATAGTGATCATGTCAGGATAATTAGCATGTCCATCATTTGAACACTAATCATTTTTTGTGTTGGGAACAGTCAATGTCCTCCTTCTAGCTATTTAAACTGTATATTGTTGTTAAAAGTAGTCATCCTACAGTAGTATAAGACTCTAGAACTTATTCCTTCATCTAGCTGTAACTTTAACATCCTTTAACAAATCTCCCCCTATCTCCCTTTTCCCCGGCCATTCCCAGCCTCTAGTATCCTCTGTTCTAGTTGGTACTTCTGTGAGATCAACTATTTTTAAGCATCCACATGTGAGGGAGAACATGAGTGTTTAACTTTCTGTTCCTGGCTTATTTCACTTGACATAATGTCCTCCAATTCCATTCATGTCGACAGGATTTCACTCTTTTTATGGCTGACTAGTATTCCATTGTGTGTATGTGTGTGTGTGTGTGTTCATTCAACTGTTGTTGGACACCTAGGTTGATTCCAAATCTTGGCTATTGTGAATAATGCTGTCGTAAACAGGGGGATGCAGATGTCTCTTCAATACTCTGATTTCCCTTCCTTTAGATAAATGCCAGTAATGCGACTGCTGGGTCATATGGTAATTCTATTTGTGGTTATTTGCAGAACCTCCATCCTGTTCTCCATTGTGCATTGTGGCTATCCAAGTTTACATTCCCACTAACTGTGTGCAAGATTTGGTGGGAATCCTTGCCAGCCTGCTTTTGTTTGTTTGTTTGTTTTTGACGGAGTCTTGCTCTGTCGCCAGGCTGGAGTGCAGTGGCATGATCTTGGCTCACTGTAACCTTCGTCTCCCGGGTTCAAGAGATTCTCCTATCTCAGCCTCCCAAGTAGCTGGGACTACAGACGCACATCACTACACCAAGCTAAGTTTTGTATTTTTAGTAGAGATGGGGTTTCACCATGTTGGCCAGGATGGTCTTGATCTCCTGACCTCGTGATCTGCCTGCTTTGGTCTCCCAAAGTGCTGGGATTACAGGCGTGAGCCACTGTGCCTGCCCCCACTCCCCGCTTTTTTTTTTTTTGTCTTTTTGATAATTGCTATTCTAACTAGATTGTGGTGACACCTCATTGTGGTTTTGATTTGTATTTCCCTGTTGATTGGTGAGGTTGAGCATTTAAAAAATATATTTGTTGGCCATTTGCACATCTATGTATTCTTTCGAGAAATGACTGTATAGGTCCTTTTACTCTTTCTAAATCGGCTTGTTTGTATTTTTGCTGTTGAGATGTTTGAGTTCCTTGTATATTCTGGATATTAATCCCCTGTCAGATGAATAGTTTGTAAATATTTTGTCCTATTCTTTAGGTTGGCTTTTCATTCTGTTGATTTTTTGCTTGGCAGAAGATTTTTGGTGTGCTGTGCAGAAGCTTGTTAGTTTAGTATAATCTCATTTGTTTATTTTTGCATTTGTTGCTTGTGCTTTTGAAGTCTCATTCCTAAAATCTTTTTCCAGACCAGTGTCCTGAAGTGTTTCTTCTATATTTTCTTCTAATAGTTTTATAGTTTTGTGTCTTACATTTAGGTCTTTGGTCCACTTTGAGAAGATTTTTGTATAGAGTGAGAGGTGAGGGTCTAGTGTCATTCTTTAGCATATGGATATCCAGTTTTCCCAGCACCATTTATTGAAGAGACTCTCCTTTCCCCAAGAAGTGTTTTTGGTGCCTTTGTCAAAAATCAGTTGACCATAGGTTGGGTGTGGTGGCTCATGCCTGTAATCCTGACACTTTGGGAGGCCGAGGCTGGTGGATCACTTGAGCCCAGAGTTCGAGACCAACCTGGGCAATATGGTGAAACCCCATCTCTTTAAAAAAATCAGTTGACTGTAGATATGTGGATTATTTTCTGGGTTCTGTATTCTGTTCCATTGTTCTATATATCTGTTTTTATGCCAGTACCATGCTGTTTCAGTTACTATAGCTTTGTAGTATATTTTGAAGTGTGGTAGTGTGTCGTCTCCAGCTTTGTTCTTTTTCCTCAGGATTGCTTTGGATATTTGGTGTATTTTTAAATTCCCTACAACTTTTAAATTTTTATACTACATTTCAATAGAATTTATTTGTGTTTGGGCCACATCTAGATGCAATTCTGACCCATATGCCCTGTTTAATAACTCTGGGAGCACTTTTAGGACAGGATAACACTGTGCCTAATAGGGTGCCTGGTGCATAGTAGGTGATCACTAAATTGAATTGCCTTATGATGCTTCTCATTATTCTCTCTTTAAGGAAAAAAAGTGATGTCAAGTATTCTTGTTAATTTTGGTCTGCATGTGGCTTCCAAAGCCTCCAAATGAAGAGCTCATATAGCACTGCATGAAACTCCAGGGATGTTTTTTCAGAATGCTTGTTCAGGCTCACAAAAGCCCTTTATGGGTTCCTCCTCAGGCTCATTATATCATCCTCTAAGCCGTTAAATCAATCTATTTCAATTAGATAATGACTCCCACTTTGAATCTGTGTAAAATCCATCCCCACCTCACTGTGTATCTCCAGCAGCAGATTTCCAATGTCTTGACAGCAGCAGGGCTTTTGTCCTCCCTGTATCCCTGCAGGCACGAGGGGCCAAAGACCAATTTGCTGTAATGAATTTAATATGTTTAGTCTGAGCCATATAATTCCAGGCCAAGCAGAGAGGGCCTCTGTTAGGGTTACTTTCCATTAAGTGAATCAAAGAGGCATGTTAGCAACTGCAGGCTGAATGTGCAAACCCTCTTGATGCCAACTTCATTTTAAGTCCAGCCAGCTTCCAATCACTTTATGGACTGCCTCAAGACCATTTTGGCAGTAGTTTATTGTGCCTCTGGCTCCTAGAAACTACACTAGACCACTCCCAAGCATGTATTGCAACTCTTGGAAGATGAGCTTGTTGATTTCTCATCTAAGAGTTGGCTCTTGTTAGTGACAAGAGATGGTTTTACAAGCAATCAATTTCTTTGGATATCTTGGAAACTTGTTTCTGTGTGTGTGTGAGGCAAAATATACCTGAAAATTTTGTTTTCAAAGGAAGGCAAATACAGAAAAGGGTAAGGATTGCCATAATTTAAGGATTTTAAGAGAGTATCCATTCTAGGCCTATACCTCTAGAAATAGACTTAGACTTCCAGTGCTCAGGACATTCATCTTAAGTGGACATTCCAAGGCCCTTGACAAGGTAGATGCTGAATATCTGTTAGATGCATCCAATCATGAATTTTTTTATTTTGCCAACCTTAGCAGCAGGTACCTGGCTAGGTGTTAGGGAAATCAAAGATGAATTTAAAAAGATACCCGTGTTTAAGGAGCTCACAGTTTGAATCTGGTATAGGAAACACAAACAAGAATGATGTTATGAGGGCTTTCATAAAGATACAGGAACATTGTTATTATCAAAGGAAACTTGGAACCAAGAAAAGTCCATTTAAATTGAATCCATTTAAAGTGGAGACCAACTTTTCTAATTCCAAGTAAATTGGAAAAGGTTTGTTTGAGAATTTGTCTTGAAAAATAAAGCTAAAAATATAAAAATAATTTTTATTTATTAAACTAAATTTAGATTATTATTTAATTTTGTCTATACTGTCATTCCTAGAACAAACAATCAGAATAACATTTTTGGTGGAAAGTAGCGTTACGGCAGGAAGGTAATACATAACAGAGGGTTATTTTGCAAAAATATTTGGAGTTTAATTGGTTTTTCCAAAGACCAGTGTTAACTTTTGATATCCAAATCATTTTATTTCACATTCCTATATTTCATTGTCTATTGATTTTTGTTGTCTTCAATTGCTAATGCAGCTAAACCTCCTGGATTTTCATTCGTCAGTAACTTTCCATGTGATTCCAGCAGTTTTCTAAGAAAAAAACTTTTCTCACTTTTGTAAAATCCTTCATTGTTTGCAAGGTTTGCCATTTCATGTGCAGTTGAAAAGACTTTGGAACCAGAGGAAGGAGGATAGACTCCAGTGTGAAGTTGGGTGGCATGTTTTGGTGGGGATTTATATTGTTGATAAAGAGTTGATTAGTAAACATTTTCATGTTGTGATGACAATTGGTACTTTTCAAATTCTTAGTTATGGGGTTTTTGACAATGAATATTTAGATAATAATAATAATCTGCAATCCACCAAGAGCTCAGGTGGCACAAAAACTCAGATGCCAGAATTTAAAAAAAATTACATTTACTACTAGGTAAGAAGTGGTTGTATTCTCATGACAGATTCAAATAATAAATTCCTATATGAATAATATGACTTATCCATTAACATGATCAATATTAGTTGCAACTAGACTAGTGGTACTAAACTTGTTTGAGATCACAGAAGTTACAGTTCTTTCACTTACAACCAAATATGTCCCTGAGGTTTTCTAATTCTGAAGTCAGTGAGTACTCTTTCACCACACGATTGGCTCCCAAATGTATCCTGGGAGATACTACTTTTATTACTCTATTGAATTACTTTCCCAGAATCTCAATCCTTACAGGATGCTAGAAAGATAGCGCCAAGTGTCTTCTTAAATTATTATTATTATACTTTAAGCTCTAGGGTACATGTGCACAATGTTCAGGTTTGTTACATATATATATACATGTGCCATGTTGGTGTGCTGCACCCATTAACTCATCATTTACATTCGGTATATCTCCTAATGCTATCCCTCCCCTCTCCCCCAACCCCATGACCAGCCATGGTGTGTGATGTTCCCCTTCCTGTGTCCAAGTGTTCTCATTGTTCAATTCCCACCTATGAATGAGAGCATGTGGTGTTTGGTTTTTTGTCCTTGCGATAGTTTGTTGAGAATGATGGTTTCTAGCTTCATCCATGTCCCTACAAAGGACATGAACTCATCCTTTTTTATGGCTGCATAGTATTCCATGGTGTATATGTGCCACATATTCTTAATCCAGTCTATCATTGATGGACATTTGGGTTGGTTCCAAGTCTTTGCTATTGTGAATGGTGCCAAAATAATCATACGTGTGCATGTGTCTTTATAGCAGCATGATTTATAATCCTTTGGGTATATACCCAGTAATGGGATTGCTGGGTCAAATGGTATTTCTAGTTCTAGATCCTTGAGGAATCACCACACTGTCTTCCACAATGGTTGAACTAGTTTACAGCCCACCAACAGTGTAAAAGTGTTCCTATTTCTCCACATCCTCTCCAGCACCTGTTGTTTCCTGACTTTTTAATGATCGCCATTCTAACTGTTGTGAGATAGTATCTCATTGTGGTTTTGATTTGCATTTCTCTGATGGCCAGTGATGATGAGCATTTTTTCATGTATCTGTTGGCTGCGTAAATGTCTTCTTTTGAGAAGTGTCTGTTCATATCCTTTGCCCACTTTTTGATGGGGTTGTTTGATTTTTTCTTGTAAATTTGTTTAAGTTCTTTGTAGATTCTGGATATTAGCCCTTTGTCAGATGGGTAGATTGCAAAAATTTTCTCCCATTCTGTAGGTTGCCTATTTACTCTGATGGTAGTTTCTTTTGCTGTGCAGAAGCTCTTTAGTTTAGTCAGATCCCATTTGTCAATTTTGGCTTCTGTTGCCATTGCTTTTGGTGTTTTAGACATGAAGTCCTTGCCCATGCCTGTGTCCTGAATGGTATTGCCTAGGTTTTCTTCTAGGGTTTTTATGGTTTTAGGTCTAACATTTAAGTCTTTAATCCATCTTGAATTAACTTTTGTATAAGGTGTAAGGAAGGGATCCAGTTTCAGCTTTCTACATATGGCTAGCCAGTTTTCCCAGCACCATTTGTTGAATAAGGAATCCTTTTCCCGTTTCTTGTTTTTGTCAGGTTTGTCAAAGATCAGATGGTTGTAGATGTGTGGTATTATTTCTGAGGGCTCTGTTCTGTTCCATTGGTCTATATCTCTGTTTTGGTACCAGTACCATGCTGTTTTGGTTACTGTAGCCTTGTAGTATAGTTTGAAGTCAGGTAGTGTGATGCCTCCAGCTTTGTTCTTTTGGCTTAGGATTGTTTTGGCAATGCAGGCTCTTTTTTGATTCCATATGACCTTTAAACCACTGCTCGATGAAATAAAAGAGGACACAAACAAATGGAAGAACATTCCATGCTCATGGATAGGAAGAATCAATATGATCAAAATGGCCATACTGCCTAAGGTAATTTATAGATTCAATGCCATCCCCATCAAGTTATCAATGACTTTCTTCACAGAATTCTAAGTGTCTTTTTTTAAACATGCCAACCAAGCATTGTTTTAGTAAAACAATAAAGATGTCTCCTAGAGTGGTAGAATTCTACTGAATCAAGTAGCAAACCATTTGCTAGTTTGTTAAATGGAGTATCTTGTTAAATGGACTACCATGAAGTAGAATATTTTAGGTAGATTATGCACAATTATTTATGGTAGATTATGCACAAATATTTATGCATAATCATAAATATCTCCCTAAAATATTCAAGAGTTTAATCAGTTTTTCCCAGGACCAGTGTTCACTTTTGATATCCAGAGTTTTAGGTAGATTAAGCACAAATATTTATGAGATTTTCATGATACCAAGGTATATTATTCTTAATCTTTCAGAATATTTATTATGCATATGTTATACAAGATATACCCTTTAAGGTCTTGTGGGAAAATAGTTTGAAAAAATAGAGTCAGATCAATAGCCAAAGTGATATTACTGAGGGCAGAAGATTATCCAACTAACAGAAACCAACTATAGTGGTCCCATGCCAGAGTGGGAAGACAACATTAGCTTTAGGGACTGCAGGTTTAGGACTGCCTTTTAGTTTCAAGTGACAAAAATCTAACACAAGCTAGCTTTAACTCAATAATGGGAATTTATAGGCTCATAAAACCAAACTCAGGACAAAGGATAATACTGGCCTCGGGAATGACAATGCTGGTGGCCCTTGATGCTCTCAAGGCTCCCTCTCTCCATTTCTGTCTGGCATCTGCTTTTCGTCTGTGCTGACTTCACTCTCTTACCTCTGCATCATCTTTGGCACGTGATGGGCAACAGGAATCCCTCAAGTCAACCCAACAACTCTGCCACCAGGAGAGTAAAGAAGTTCTGTCCCATTAATCTTAGGTGGAAAAATTTCAGGGCAGATCTTAGTTAGGGTCAGTTGCAACTGACCATCACTGACCATCAATTGTCATCCTGGCTTCCACGTCTGAGAACAGGAGGATACACTAACTGGGCTAGCCCTGGTCTTCTGAACTCTCATGAGGCCAAAGGGATAGATTATGTTACCAGAGAAATGCACAGAAGCTGGGCAGAAATAGACAAAAGCCACTGCAAGGATAAAATCCTTACCTTCTATCACTTTTTGTCTCTCGTCTCTTAGTTGTATGGTTTTACATGTTGCATATGGATTCTCATATAGGCCAGTTAAACTTAGGTTAATCTGACTTGGACTTGAGTTACATTTTCATTAGTTTAGGACCAGATTGTGAAACAGAGTTTATGTGGGAAGTAATTTACAGATGGCCTGACATTGGTTTTGTGAGCCTGTTTACTGTGTCTAAACCTGAGAAATAGCATGGGTGTTTTTCCTCCTTTAATTTAATTTTAGCTGTGATTTGATACATTAGGTGTGTCAAGAAACACATTGAAAGTCTCAGTTCAAAATAAATTTGTTTCTAAGAATGTCCCATTTTCTCTCAAAATGCTATGAGAAAAATTCAATAAAACCTCTTTCATATCCTTAAATGAAGAGACCAATAGTAATTTAAATGGATTTTAATCGTATTTATGGTTTTTAATGTTTATGCTGTAAGTATATTTATTAATATACATATGGGTTAAATTTCTTTATGGCCTTGAAACTAGTTTTAAAAGTCATTAAATACACCAAAAATTATTTAGCTGGTAAAATTTTCCCTTGGCTTTGTTTAAAGAATCAGTCTACCCTCAGATAAATAAATATATATTGAGCATTCAATAGTCCTGAACTCTGAACTAGGAGCAGTAGCAGACAAAGCAAAAGGCTTCAACGAGTTTACTATGTAGTTAAGGAGACAGGTCAAAGGCTTGAAATAAGAGAGAAATATGCATGGCCTTGTATCACATGTACATAAGCCAGCAATAAGATGAAAGGCATTCAAGAGCATGATCAGCTGCACAGGCTTCAAGGCACTAGTTAGGCAGGGAGAACATTGCAATCAAATAATAATGACATTACTTTTCAGTCATTCTCACATTCCTGCTGACTTATGCCAGCTTAAATCCCCATTTGTGTTTGTAGCACACATATTTATACTAAGGTGGTGCAAGGTGATGTGACAAACAAACCCTAAATTATATAATGGCTTAGACATAATAAAGCTTAATATGGGTGTTCATGATTGCCACTTAGTGACTCAGAAACTCAGGCTTCTTCTGCCTTATGGCTCTGCCATCTTCAAAACAGCTTCCAAAAGGATGCTTTGCTCATCGGAGCCAATCCAGAGGAAGGAGGGAACACCAGGAAAGAGCATCCATTGCAGGTTTTTATGAGCCAAGCCTGGAAGTGGCACATATTCCTTCTGTTCACATTCTGATGAGTAGAAGTCAGGTCCATGGCTTTGTCTAACTGGCTAAGAAATGTCACCTAGGTGTGGGCCAAGGATGAAGAGACAGGTTAGGTGAATAGTTAGCCATAACATCCGTGAACATCAAATTCAAGAAACAAAAAGAGAGGGGGGACAAAGTACTACTTGACATGTGTTTGTTGATGACTCACCCACCATCATTTAATAAACTTGTACTCTGAATCTTATTAATTTTGTAATCTGAATCTTATTAATTTTGTAATCTGAATCTTCTTAATTTCTCCACTGCCAGACAGTGATTTGTGGAATGGGTTCAAAGACAGATGAACATTATTTAGATATGCTCCGCTTGTACACATGTACATATGCACAGCTAGGGAAGCATGACAGTAAAGCCTCATCACACCCTCATGCAGAAGCCTGTGTGGTATAAGATTGTGTGTTTGTGTGTATATGAGTTAAGTGGATGGGTGCATGCGTATCTCCACAAATAATACACATATATATGAAACCTTGCTATTATGAATGTTTCTCAAATTAAGTGGATACAAATTTTAATATTCCCAGTGGAAACATAAATAATAACTTTTCAAAACTTGTTCTTTCATTTACACAAGGTAATTTTAGCATTTTGGTTGAATGGAAATACCCTGTTTTGGAGATGCTGGTTATTATGGGTTAAATTGTGTTCCTCATGATGATATCTTAAAATCTTAACCCCTTATACCTGTGAATGTGACCTTATTTGGAGATAGGGTCTTTGTAGATATAATTGGGTTAATATGAGGTCATACTGGATTACGGCGAGGACTAACCCAATGACTAGTGTCTTTAGACATTAGACTTAGAGGATGTTTGGACTCAGGGAAACACAGAGCACTCACTTTGTGAATCCTCCTCACAAAGCAGAGGACACCAGGAGAAGATGAAAGCAGTCATTGGAGTGATGTGTCCCCTAGCCAAAGAACATCAAGGGTTACCAGCGACCACCAGAACCTAGAAGAGAGCATGGAAAAGATTCTCCCTCAGAACTTCCATAAGAGACCAACCCTGTCAACACTGAATTTCAGACTTCTAGCTTCCAGAATTGTGAGGGAATAAATTTCTGCTGTTGTAAGCCATTTACTTTGTGGTAATGTGCTATGGCAGCCCAGGAAACTAATGTATATGTTATACATTTATTTATAGTATGGTTGTTTTCCTCTTATAAGTGTTCAACTTACACATTTTCATGGATATAAAGAAAGGTATGAACACCATTAGCACTGTGACTATTCCCACTGCCAAAAAATAAGGCTAATAGTTGCCTTTATAAAATCACTCTGGGTGGCTGGCAAGATGGCGGAATAGGAACAGCTCCAGTCTGCAGCTCCCAGTGAGATCAACGCAGAAGTTGGGTGATTTCTGCATTTCCAACTGAGGTACACAGCTCATCTCATTGGGACTGGTTATTCAGTGGGTGCAGCCCATGGAGAGCAAGCTGAAGCAGGGTGGGGTGTTGCCTCACCTGGGAAATGCAAGGGGTAGGGGATTTCCCTTTCCTAGCCAAGGGAAGCCATGAGGGAGTGTGCCATGAGGAATGGTGCATTCTGGGCCCAGATACTACTTTTCCCATGGTCTTTGTAACCAACAGACCAGGAGATTCCTTAAGGTGTCTACACCACCAGGGCCCTGGGTTTCAAGCACCAAACTGGACGGCCATTTGAGCAGACACCGAGCTAGCTGCAGGAGTTGTTTTTCATACCCCAGTGGCACCTGGAATACCAGCGAGACAGAACTGTTCACTCCCCTGGAAAGGGGGCTGAAGCCAGGGAGCCAAGTGGTCTAGCTTAGCAGATCCCACACCCATGGAGCCCAGCAAGATAAGATCCACAGGATTGAAATTCTCGCTGCCAGCACAGCAGTCTGAAGTCAACCTGGGATGCTTGAGGTTGGTGGGGGGAAGGGCATCTGCCATTACTGAGGCTTCAGTAGGTGGTTTTCCCCTCACAGTGTAAACAAAGTCGCCTGGAAGTTCAAACTGGGGGTAGCCCATGGCAGTTTGGCAAAGCCACTGTAGCCAGACTGCCTCTTTAGATTCCTCCTCTCTGGGCAGGGCATCTTGGAAAAAAAGGCAGCAGCCCCAGTCAGGAGCTTATAGATAAAACTCTCATCTACCTGGGAAAGAGCACCTGGGGGAAGGGGTGGCTGTGGGCACAGCTTCAGCAGACTTAAACGTTCGTGCTGCTGGCTCTGAAGAGAGCAGGGGATCTCCCAGCACAGTGCCTGAGCTGTGCTAAGGGACAGACTGCCTCCTCAAGTGGGTCCCTGACCCCCGTGCCTCCTGACTGGGAGACACCTCCCAGCAGGGGTCGACAGACACCTCATACAGGAGGGCTCTGGCTGGCATCTGGCAGGTGCCCCTCCTGGATGAAGCTTCCAAAGGAAGGAATAGGCAGCAATCTTTGCTGTTCTACAGCCTCCACTGGTGATACCCAGGCAAACAGGGCCGGAAGTGGACCTCCAGCAAACTACAGCAGACCTGCAGCAGAGAGGCCTATTAGAAGGAAAACCAACAAATAGAATGGAATAGCATCAACATCAACAAAAAGGACGTCCATGCAGAAACCCATCCGAAGGTCACCAGCATCAAAGACCAAAGGTAGATAAATCCAAGAAGATGAGGAAAAACCAGCACAAAAAGGTTGAAAAAATCCAAAAATCAGAATACCTCTTCTCCTCCAAAAGATCCCAACTCCTCACCAGCAAGGGAACAAAACTGGACAGAGAATGAGTTTGGTGAATTGACAGAAGTGGACTTCAAAAGGTGGGTAATAACAAACTCCTCTACGCTAAAGGAGCATGTTCTAACACAATGCAAGGAAGCTAAGAATCTTGAAAAAAGGGTTGAGGAATTGATAACTAGAATAACCAGTTTAGATAAGAACATAAATGACGTGATGGAGCTGAAAAACATAGCATGAGAACTTTGTGAGGCATATACAAGTATCAACAGCTGAATCGATCAATCAGAAGAAAGGATATCAGAGACTGAAGATCAACTTAATGAAATAAAGCGTGAAGACAAGATTAGAGAAGAAAGAATGAAAAGGAATGAACAAAGCCTCCAAGAAATATGAGACTATGTGAAAAGACCAAACCTACGTTTGATTGGTGTACCTGAAAGTGACAGGGAGAATGGAACCAATTTGGAAAACATTCTTCAGGATATTATCAAGGAGAACTTCCCCAGCCTAGCAAGACAGGCCAACATTCAAATTCAGGAAATACAGAGAACACTACAAAGATACTTCTTGAGAAGAACAACCCCAAGACACATAATCATCAGATTCACCAAGGTTGAAATGAAGGAAAAAATGTTAAGTGCGGCCAGAGAGAAAGGTCAGGTTACCCACAAAGGGATGCCCATCAGACTACCAGGGGATCTCTCTGCAGAAACCCTACAAGCCAGAAGACAGCAGGGGCCAATATTCAACATTCTTAAAGAGGAGAATTTTCAACCCAGAATTTCATATCCAGCCAAACTAAGCTTCATAAGTGAAGGAGAAATAAAATCCTTTACAGACAAGCAAATGCTGAGAGATTTTTGTCACCACCAGGCCTGCCTTACAAGAGCTCCTGAAGGAAGCACTAAATATGGAAAAGAAAAACAGGTACCAGACACTGCAAAAACATACCAAATTGTAAAGACCATCGACACTATGAAGAAACTGCATCAACTAACAGGCAAAATAACCAGCTAACATCATAATGACAGGATCAAATTCACACATAGCAATATTAACCTTAAATATAAATGGGCTAAATGCCCCAATTAAAAGACACAGACTGGCAAATTGGATAAAGTGTCAAGATCCGTCAGTGTGCTGTATTCAGGAGACCCATCTCACATGCAAAGACATACATAGGCTCAAAATAAAGGGATAGAGGAACATTTACCAAGCAAATGGAAAGCAAAAAAAAAAAAAAAAGCAGGGGTTGCAATCCTTGTCTCTGATAAAACAGACTTTAAACCAACAAAGATTAAAAAAAAGAAAGCAAACAAAGAAGGGCATTACATAATGGTAAAGGGATCAATGCAACAAGAAGAGCTATCCTAAATATATATGCACCCAATATAGGAGCACCCAGATTCATAAAGCAAGTTCTTAGACATCTACAAAGAGACTTAGACTCCCACACAATAATAATGGGAGACTTTAACACCTCACTGTCAATATTAGATCAATGAGACAGAAAATTAATAAGGATATTTAGGACTTGAACTCAGCTGTGGACCAAGTGGACCTAATAGACATCTACAGAACTCTCCACCCCAAATCAACAGAGTATACATTTTTCTCAGCACCACATCACACTTATTCCAAAATTGACCACATAATTGGAAGTAAAACACTCCTCAGCAATGCAAAAGAACAGAAATCATAACGGTCTCTCAGACCACAATGCAATCAAATTAGAACTCAGGATTAAGAAACTCACTCAAAACCTCACAACTACATGGAAACTGAACAACCTGCTCCTGAATGACTGCTGGGTAAATAACAAAATTAAGGCACAAATACATAAGTTCTTTGAAACCAATGAGAACAAAGTTACAATGTACCAAAATTTCTGTGACACTGCTAAAGCCGTGTTTAGAGGGAAATTTATAGCACTAAATGCCCACAGAAGAAAGCAGGAAAGATCTAAAATCGACACCCTAATATCACAATAAAAAGAGCTAGAGAAGCAAGAGCAAACAAATTCAAAAGCTAGCCAAAGACAAGAAATAACTGAAATCAGAGCAGAACTGAAGGAAATGGAGACATGAAAACCCCTTCAAAAAATCAATGAATCCAGGAACTGTTTTTTTGAAAAGATTAACAAAATAGACTGCTAGCCAGACTACTAAGAAAAGAGAGAAGAGTCAAATAGACATATAAAAAATGATGAAGGGGATATCACCACTGATCCCAGAGAAATACAAACTACCATCTGAGAATATTACAAATACCTCTATGCAAATAAACTAGAAAGTCTAGAAGAAATGGATAAATTCCTGGACACAAACCCTCCCAAGACTAAACCAGGAAGAAGTCAAATCCCTGAATGGACCAATAACAAGTTCTGAAATTGAGGCAGTAATTAATAGCCTACCAACAAAAAAAGCCCACGACCAGATGGATTCACAGCTGAATTCTACCAGAGGTACAAAGAGGAGCTGGTATTATTCCTTCTGAAACTATTCCAAACAATAGAAAAAGAGAAAATCCTTCCTAACTAATTTTATGAGGCCAGCATCATCCTGATACCAAAACCTGGCATAGACACAACAAAAAAATAAAATTTCAGGCCAATATCCCTGATGAACATTGATGTGAAAATCCTCAATAAAATACTGGAAAACTGAATTCAGCAGCACATCAAAAGGCTTATCCACCATGATCAAGTTGGCTTTATCCCTGGGATGCAAGGCTGGTTCAACATATGCAAATCAATAAACATAATCCATAACATAAACAGAACCAATGACAAAAACCACATGATTATGTCAATAGATGCAGAAAAGGTCTTTGATAAAATTCAACACCACTTTATGCTAAAAACTCTCAATAAACTACGTATTGATGGAACGTATCTCAAAATAATAAGAGCTATTTATGACAAACCCACAGTATCATACTGAATGGGCAAAAGCTGGAAGCATTCCCTTTGACAACCAACACAAGACAAGGATGCCCTCTCTGAGCACTCCTATTCAACATAGTGTTGGAAGTTCTGGCCAGGGCAAGCAGGCAAGAGAAAGAAATAAAGGATATTCAAATAGAAGAGAGGAAGTCAAATTGTCTCTGTTTGCAGGTGACATGATTGTATATTTAGAAAATCCCATCGTCTCACCTTAAAATCTCCTGAAGCTGATAAGCAACTTCAGCAAAGTCTCAGAATATAAAATTCATGTGCAAAAATCACAAGCATTCCTATACACCAATAATAGACAAACAGAGAGCCAAATCATGAGTGAACTCCCATTCACAATTGTGACAAAGAGAATAAAATACCTAGGAATACAACTTACAAAAGATGTGAAGGACCTCTTCAAAAGAGAACTACAAACCACTGCTCAAGGAAAGCAAAGAGGACAAAAACAAATGGAAAAACATTCCATGCTCATGGATAGGAAGAATCAATATCGTGAAAATGGCCATACTGCCCAAAGTAATTTTTAGATTAAATGCTGTCCCCATCAAGCTACCATTGACTTTCTTTACAGAAATAGAAAAAGCTACTTTAAATTTCATATGGAACCAAAAAAGAGCCTGTATAGCCAAGACAATCCTAAGCAAAAAGAACAAAGCTGGAGGCATCATGCTACCTGATTTCAAACTATACTATAAGGCTATAGTAACCAAAACAGCATGGTACTCGTACAAAAACAGATACATAGACCAATGGAACAGAACAGAGGCCTCAGGAATAATGCCATACAGCATGGTGCTGGTACCAAAACAGTTACATAGACCAATGGAACAGAACAGAGGCCTCAGAAATAACGCCACACATCTACGACCATTTGATCTTTGACAAACCTGACACAAACAAGCAATGAAAGGATTACCTATTTAATAAATGGTGTTGGGAAAACTGGCTAGTCATATGCAGAAAACACAAACTGGACCCCTTACACGTTATTCAAAAATTAACTCAAGATAGATTAAAGACTTAAACATGACACCTAAAACCATAAAAATCCTAGAAGAAAACCTAGGCAATACCATTCAGGACATAGGCATGGGCAAAGACTTCATGACTAAACACCGAAAGCAACAACAAAAGCCAAAATTGACAAATGGGATCTGATTAAATGAAAGAACTTCTGCACAGAAAAAGAAACTATCATCAGAGTGAACAGGCAACCCACAGAATGGGAGAAAATTTTTGCAATCTATCCAACTGACAAAGGCCTATTATCCAGAATCTACAAGGAACTTAAACAAATTTACAAGAAAAAAAACAAACAACCCCATCAAAAAGTGGGCGAAGGATATGAACAGACACTTCTCAAAAGAAGACATTTATGCAGCCAACAGACAAAAACGTTCATCAACACTGGTCATTAGAAAAATGCAAATCAAAACCACAACGAGATACCATCTCACACCAGTTAGAATGGCGATCATTAAAAAGTCAGGAAATAACAGATGCTGGATAGGATGTGGAGAAATAGGAACACTTTTACACTGTTGGTGGGAGTGTAAATTAGTTCAACCATTGTGGATGTCAGTGTGGTGATTCCTCGAGGATCTAGAACCAGAAATACCATTTGACCCAGCAATCTCATTACTGGGTATATACCCAAAGGATTATAAATCATTCTACTATGAAGACACATGCACACATATGTGTATTGTGGCACTATTCACAATAGCAAAGACTTGGAACCAACCCAAATGCCCATCAATGATAGACTGGATTAAGAGAATGTGACACATATATACCATAGAATACTATGCAGCCATAAAAAGGATGAGTTCATGTCCTTTGCAGGTACATGGATGAAGCTGGAAACCATCATTCTCAGCAAACTAACAAAGGCACAGAAAATGAGGTGAACAATGAGAACACGTGGACACAAGGAAGGGAACATCACACGGTGGGGCCTGTGGGGGATGGGGAGCTAGGGGAGGGATAACATTAGGAGAATTACCTAATGTAGATGATGGGTTGATGGGTGCAGCAAGCCACCATGGCACTTGTATGCCTACGTAACAAACCTGCACGTTCTGCACATATATCCCAGAACTTAAAGTATAATTAAAAAAAGAGAAAGTTCAAACGAAAAAATATTTAAAAAAATAAAATCACTTTGGTCTTATAAATAATTGACTCTGAGAATACTTTCCACAACCTAGCCAGAGTGCAAGCAAAGGAGCGTCTGTATCATTCAAGTCATTCACATACATTTATCTTACGAGAGACGTACCTAATTGCGTTACATATATAGAAGGAACAGAAAACTATATAGAAAATCAATTCTTCTTTTTCCAATTTATGGAATGTCTTGGAAGGTGGGAATTTCACTTTTCTTACAAATGAGCATTCAAAACCCCCAAACTAGCAATTTGTGTAGACCTATTTTCAAAAAATCAGTCAAGACTTAATGCCTCTGAGCTTCACTTGAGGTGAACTGGATGTTGACCTGCCAGCCAGAGGTCCCTAAGTGTTTCAGGTTGTCCTGTCTCCATGAGACCAATGAATCTGATCCTGATGTCAACAGTGACGGGGCTGTGTCTCAGGCTGGGCCACACTGAGGAGCTGTCCTCACTTTCCAATCACCTAGCCCTGTCCATTGCAGTGGATCAGACACACCACATTTGAGAGTAGGAGGTAGACATTTGTGATGGTTTTGTAAGCAAATGTGCCTTTTCTTCCTTCTTTTTAGAATACATTTGGCACTTCCAGAATAGTTACTATTCGAGGAGCTCCCTACTTTTATTGAGGAACTGATACAGGCAGCTGAAATACTACAAGTAGCATTTTAGATTTTATATTTGGTTATGATTACATTCATGGAAGAACACACTTTTGTATGTTCTTCAATTTCAGAACATGTAAGAAAGTTTACTCAGATACTGTTCAGTTCGACATGATTATTGACAGAAATGCTAGGATAAAAAATATTCACATTAATGATGCCAGGCACAGCATCTGTTTTTCAGGTCACAGCACTTGGTGAAGTAGCATAAACTGCAATTAATTTAAAAGGTTGAATTTCTGATTCCCTGCATAAGCTGACATGCAAATCTTATAGTTTACCTGAGAGCAAGAATGAATGAATTGAGATTGCATCATTTCTCAAGAAGATTGGGTGAAGAATAGGCAAGATTCTTTGTACTGAGCCATAAAGTATTAAGAAAGTAGTAATTGCAAAGATTTCTCTTATCCATTCTTTTAAAGCACAGGGAATACATGAAAACAATTTCCTGTACTTTGTCTTTTGATTTCATGCTTGCTATAGACATGTGTTACATTTTAATGGGGGTGTGGTTAGAAGAGAAAACTGTACTCAATCTATATAGTCAACAAAAGTGTGGTGCGTAAGTTTCTCGCAGAGGTGGAAACAATTACATTATTGACAACATAAATTTGATTTGGGATACTTGACACAATTCTATTATCTATTTCCATGTTGTTTATAATGCTGAGACCCCTTTGCTTCTCAGAAAGGTCCCCTCTAATTCTTTCTCCTGCTGGTTTGTTTTGTTGGTTTAAGTAAGCACCTTTTACAAGGGGATGCTTGGGATTGGGTCATGTATAATGTTTGTGGCAGAAGAAAAGACATTAACAATACACAACAACAACAACAACAAACTAATGGGGTTGGAAGTTTATAAATAGAAATACTAGTTGAACTAAAAATGGAAAATCCAAATAATGAACCTTAATTTTAAAAGTGACAATCTTAGAGTGTGTGTTTCTCAGAGTTCTGAAGACTCCTGTTTTCAATTTACTTTCCTGAAATGATTAATTCATAAAATAGCAAAGGAATAAAATAAAATATAGGCTCAAGGTTTAAAACACTCTCCTAAAGGTGGGGCAAATTTTCTTCTGGAGTGTTGAGTTTTCACTTGGACCCAGCAATATGTAGGAAAATGCCCCAGACTTTGGAAATATTCTTTTATCATGAATTAATATCTTAATTGTTTCTAAAATCCTCTTAACTGGCCTGTCACTTCTACTAATAAAAAATACCACAAAAATGATATAGTCTAGATGAATTATGCCAAAGTATGATTCTAAAAGAGTTTACATCTCAGAACAGTTTGACATGATTATTGACAGAAAGGCTAAGACCAAAATATTCACATTAATGGTGCCAGGCACAGCATCAGTTTTTCAGGTCACGGCACTTGGTGAAGTAACATAAACTGCAATTAATTTAAAAGGTTGAATTTCTAATTCCCTGCATAAGTTGACATAGCTTTATCATCTCATGCTGGTAGAAAGTAACTTTTACCATTTATTTCTATCAGAAGACAGAACTAGGAAGGAAATAGAATAAATGAATTAAAAAAAAGAAAAACAGAAAGAAAGGAAGAAAGAAAAGCCAGAATCCCCAACTGGGAATTTAAAAAATAATTTCTTAGAATTCAAAGCAAATAGTTCAGTCAGCTAATAGAGAACAGTAAAAAATAGGTACTACTGCTTCTGCAAGGCATTTAGTGTCTTCATCTTTTCGGAATGCTGATTGGGGCACTCAAATAAACCTGAATTTTTCCAATTATACAGGGCACAGAAAAACTTTACCTTTACTCAGGAACACATAAGTCACAGAAGGAGGAAACACATAAAGCTGTCACATGTATTTTTATATCCAAAATTAAGTAATGCAGATCAAAATATCCAGTTAGCAAGGTTTGCTTTTTATGCTAAAATTGAGCACTGATAAGAGGTTGGGTGAGATGGTTACTTTTATACATGGTTGTCTGGAAGATGTTGCCAAATAATTTGACAATAGGTGTAAAAGAGCTTAAAAATGTTCATACACTGTTGCCAAGTAGTTCTATTTTTAGAAAGTAGTCAGAGATGTGTTCAAGGATATATGAACGAAGATGTTCATTATGGTTATTTACATCAGGGAAAAAAATAGAAATAAAAGCCCTACCTGTCAGATAAGAGGAGGAAGCCGGCCTGGCGTGGTGGCTCATACCTGTGGTCCCAGCACTCTGGGAGGCCGAGGTGGGCAGATTACCTAATGTTAGGAGTTCAAGACCAGCCTGGTCAACATAGCGAAACCCCACCTCTACTGAAATTACAAAAATTAGCCGGGCGTGGTGGCATGCACCTGTCATCCTAGCTACTTGGGAGGCTGAGGCAGGAGAATTGCTTGAACCTGGGAGGCAGAGTCGAGTGAACCGAGATTGTGCCACCTCACTCCAGCCTGGGCAACAGAGTGAGACTGTCTCAAAAAAAAAAAAAAAAAAAAGAGGAGAATGCCTAAATAAATTGTCATATGTCTGTGTAATAGACTATTCAGCAACCATTAAACAAGTGAGACTCAACTCAGAGCCCTAGGGTTCATGAGTAAAACTTGAATTTGGCTCAGAATGTGCCAGCTCTCATCATCTCAAATATCCTAGAAGAGGGAACAAAGGTTGAGCCTGTGAGTGAGACCTCAAAGAATTGAAACCTGAAGCCCAACTCCAACACAGCTGCCTGTATGGGGAGTCTAAGCTATCAAGGGCATGACAGCAGCAGCGACTTGTCAGAGTCCATTGGGCTGTGAGAAGAGGGGACAGTGTTCAACATGTGAAGATGCAGTAAGAAGACCCTCACTAGATGCCAGAACCTTGATCTTGAACTTCCCAGCCTCGAGAACTGAGAAATTTCTGTTCTTTATAAATTACTTAGCCTCAGGCACTCATATAGCAGCACAAAAACAGACTAAAACACACATACTACACATATTTTGAAGAAATTTATAGAGGTAAAAGTTTATGTTGTCAACTTAAACGTATACTGTTTATGTTGTCTTATACAGTCTGGTTTTTAAATGTCAGTACCTGTATTCTATTGTATTTACTAATCATAACTTACTTTATAAATCTCTCATATAATTAGATTTAGTTTTTCCTAGGATTTTTGTAATTATAAGTAACACTGAAAATGAAAGCACTTAAAAGTGCTGACAGGTCTCAGGCTAGAGAGTGAAGATGAAGGCTTTTAATTACCAAGCCATTGGAAGGGTGCCTACTGGTGCAGGCATGGAAATGCATCTTATATTGATGTGATATATTCACTAATAAACCCAAAAGGCAGAAACCTTTTGTTATGTTTACATTTGAAAATTCACCGGAGGTTACGACAGCGGTTACAATGGTTACAAATGATAAATTCCACTGGTTTTCCACAACGAGAACAAAACCTTTACATAGAATGTGTGCAGGCATGCCTTGTTCTATGCCCAGCAGAGTGACTATTCCACATGGGCTGATTTGGTGTCTCACCACTCTTTCTGCATTCAGCCTGAGGCCAGGCATGCTCCTGGAGAAGTCATACGAGCTAGGGAATGACCATGGGCCTCTTCATTACCTATCTCAGCCCTGCCTCTTGGAGCCTCACTGCTCCGACCTGTAAAAGACAAGTAACAGTAGTTTCCATCATCATTGTTATCTCACATGAATAAACAATATGATAGCATGCCATATATATGCACATCCGCTTAGTGAATTTCATAGGTAATCTTTACCAGTGAAGGAAGGTGAGCTGGGAGGAGGAAGGACAGGAGGTAGTGGCATCGTCCCCCTCAGGGAGTCCCTGCCTCAGCCTGAGCTGTAAGGTAGCTGTGTCCTCGGGGTGTCCCTTCTCCTGCTCCTCAGAGGGTGAGTGCTCCACCCAGAGGAAAGAGACATGCACAGCATCCTTTAATGTAGTCCCTGAATGCAAGCTGCACCATCTTCATTTGGTGCTCAAAGAAATAGATCTGTTCCAGGCTGGAGATTTTCAAGTGCAGTATTGATAATACGGGTGTTGTTTTGCTTTATATGCAGACTTCGAAACCAAAATCCCTTGTCACTCTTCTCAGAAGCAATTCCTTTGTTACCCTCATTGTATGGAGGAGAAAGCTGGCACCCCAGAGACTGGCAATCACCTGAGGCAGCAGGGTCATATCCACTGACTTCCAGGTCAACATCACTTCAAAATGGTGGCATGCACGAAGACCCTTCATTTTTACCTGTGGGTGTCCCAGAAAGTCGTGAAACAGACAATTTCACTGATGTCAAAGGGTCTTCTTCCCCTGGAAGGCCCTAATGAGCAAAGGTGCCCATGAAAACAAAAATTTAATATGGGAGAAACAAAATGTCTGGTAAATCCATGTATGATAAAGGATCATTTGTTCTGAATAGGTTTTTACTTCCATCAACCTTCATCTCACTTGGGGATTTCTTAAGTGTTTCTGGGGGAGGAGAGTGAGAGCTGTCTTGTGGCTTGGCTGAGGGATGACTCTCTGGGTGCCTGCCTGGCCACCAGGACAGTTGGGCCCCAAGAGGACTTAGTTTTCCTTGAGTTTGAGGATTTGAATTATTTTTCATCTATTTCATTGCAAAAGGGTTAATGTCCTTGTGGTTCCTGGCTCATGGCAAAAATTCCTCCATGACTGACAGTTTTATAGATGTTGGTGAATTTGGTCTGGGATAACATCTTACTAGTTTACCAGGTAAACGCTGGCTTTCCTTGTCTAAATGGAAAATTTAGTGCGAAACCGATTTAGTTGCAGGTGAAAATTGACTGTGTGTATCACAGAGGTGGTTTCTCACCACCGAAAACACCATGTCCTGCTTGGGAAAGAAAGCACCGAAAACCAAAACCACCTTTGCTTTTCATAAGCAATTTTCTGCCAAAAGGAAAAGCAGTTTTATTTTTTGTGAACCCACAAAAATGTGATATTCACCAGTGAGGAAATCACATTTGTATAACTGTATTAAAGATGTTTTGCTTATGCAGGCAAATGGAGAGAATTTTACCTGGAACTACTTTGGGGGCAGGAGCAAGAGATAATGCTTTTATATGTTTTAAAAAATAGTCTTCTTGGTCTTGGAAATAGAAATTGCTCTAAAAAGTAGACTTGGAAGCACTTTCTAGTCTCTCTGCAGCTGTTAGTCCATCACTGGCTCAGGTTTAAGTAGAACTTCCACAAACCACACTATGAACTTTTTTTTGGTGAAACATTTTTGACGGATTTAAGCTGTGGCTTAAATCAGTGGCATGAAAGTATGCACATGACAAGATCACATTTCCAAAGAACACAAGATCATTGGATACTTCCTGGGGGAGGTAGGCATGCTCTCCAAGTCGAGTTGCCTGCAGGAAGCAGACCACACTGGCTTCCCAAACTTGTCCTCTTGCTAATTGGTTCTACTGGGCACTCCAGGGCGGTAAACACTGATCTCCAGGGTCCAGATGAGAATGCATGATTTCTGAGGTCCCACCCTTCTGGAACTGATAACCACCCATGGCTCTGCAATGCTGGCCTGTATGCCACAGGGTGTGGCAAATCCAGAACCACAGGCCAGAGGGTCTGTGAGGGAGGGAGTTGCCTACTCTTGCTTTGCTTTAGGAAGGGGCAGGCCTGCCCCCAGCATGTCTCCTCCTTATGCAAGCACAGTCCAATGTCAGGTCTCGGCTCAGTGTTTTCAAAGCAGTCAGAGGCTGTGGCCTTTGTGCCAACAGGGGCCTTCTCAGATTCTGCCTCCTGGAATGGTTCTTAACCTGTCCCTGCTTTTAAATAATTCACATCTCATTCTGTCTATTCTCAGTCCAGAGCTCGTTTACCTAGAGAGCTCTGGACTGAGAATAGATTGAGATGCCTCTCAAAAACTGGTGCATGCTCTTGTTATATTCCTGCTACCCCCTCTGTTTAAAGGCGCCCTGGAGAGTGAAGAGTAGAAGAATGCTAATCACAACCAGGCTTATCACTCAGTTTAAATTGAGTGAATAAAGAAAGGAGAGTTTATGATATACTAACATTTGGATATTAATGATGGTGGGTATCAGCTATAGTTTTCATAAGGAACAAAAAATGCCCTTAAATATCAATATAACAGGTTAATGAGCATTTGATATTAGCATAAATTGCTGAAGAGAGGCTGTGACAGCTCCAACTGAAGGTAGCTTCATAAATTTAGAGCACTGACTGCCTAATAGAGCTCGTTTGAAATGCTACAGTTCTGCTTTAAGGAAGATGATGTGGACAACATATTGTCATCCCTGCCAGCCTTGGTGTTAAAAAGAGAAAAGCCTAAGAGGCAGAAAGATGCTGGAATGTAGTTAGCTTCACCCCCTCCCTCAGTACAGAGCCTGCTGGAGTACTTGAGTTGACCCAGGAGGACTTCCATTGACCACACAAGTGAGCCTGTTCCATTGCCAGACAGACCCAACTGCCCGAACACTGCTTTTTATATTAAATTAAAATCCACTTTGTGCTAACTTTCACCAAGTCCAATCTCTGGAGTCCCACAGCTCCCATCTCATTCTCCTCCTTCATGTGAGCTGCAACAGTCCCCACTTTGTAGTGATGGGTGTTCCGGCTCAGCCATCGACATCCCATGGCAGGTGACGTAAACCATGCAAGCTAGTCAATTTTGAAAACGTAAATTAAGCCTAAAAGTGACTGAATACCAGCAACTTGGGTCTCTACTGCCTGTGTCGGCTACAAGGATATTTATTATAACCCAAATGGCTCCAGATTTTACCAGTCTACATCAATGAATATTGTCACCTCCACATGAATACTAGAATCAGGCTGCTCCAGTCCTCACCTGCTTGTACCTGAGTTTCAATCCCATGAACTGTCCTGTACCCCATTCCATTGCCCAGGTGAGTTAATCTGGAATGCCTATCTGCCTCCGTGAATCAGTTTGGGATTTTCTGTTGCTATGGCCTCAGCGACTTCCCTCAGGCCTCCCTGCACCCATCTCCCTGCTGCTCTGGTCCAAGTTGCTCTGTGTGCTCCCACCTCCACCCCAGCCATTTCTGCTGTTTGTCCTCAACGTGCTGTGCTAGCTTAACTGTTCCTTGCATGATGAGATGTGAAACTCACTCATTAGTGAGGAAGCCTGCGTCATTTTTGGGGTAGTTAACATTAGAAAAACTTTTCTTATGTTTATCTGAAATGCATATTCTTATATTTTCTACAAACATTTGTTCCCTTGTCTTTTGGAGCAGTTTAGACCAAGTTTCTTTGTTTGTAGGGTATGGCGTAGCCTGTGTGTGTAATTTCTCTCTCTCTTGCTCTCACTCTTATCTCTTTCTTTCTTAAGATTCCTAGATGGCAGAATGTGTATCTTGATGACTGGCCTATAATTTTTGTGTAGGAGAATGCCACATTTAAACAGAAGCTTCAGCTAGGCATAGTGGCTCATGTCTATAATCTCAGCACACTGGGAGGCCGAGGTGGCAGGTCAATTGAGACCAGAAGTTTGAGACCAGCCTGGGCAACATAGTACCTAGTCTTCACACATACACAAAAAATTAGCTGGGCATGATGACATGCACCTGTAGTTCCAGCTACTCGAGAGGCTGAGGTGATTGCTTGATCCTGCAAGGTGGAGGCTGTAGTGAGCAGAAATCACACTACTCCACTCCAGCCTGGGTGACAGAGTGAGATCCTGTCTCAAATAATAATAATAATAATAATAAGAGGAAGAAGAAGAAGAAGAAGAAGAAGAAAAGTAAAAAACAGAAAAAAAAACCCAGAAACTTTTTATATGCTCTAGATGATTATAAAAATTGTATAGCCAGGGTGGACTGCAGGTGACTGCCTTCCTAGTGTGATATAGACAGTCCCACAAATTTCTTCCCCTCTGTAAAATACCTCCTTTATTAGTGTGCCTGTCTATCTGCAATTCCAAGGGTTCCATCACTATATCCATGTCCTGGGGCCTTTCAGATGAACATCTGTTTCCGTGGCACAAACACACTGACACAAATCAAAACATTGCTCTAACTGGATTCTAGGAGGAGCTACCTCTACTACTTATACCTAAGTGATGAGAAGAGGGATCTGAACAGTTTCAGTGAAAGGATCCTGGTCAAAGAACAGATCCTCTTAAGGTGCCTTAGGGGGTGTCTGTTGCAAATTAGGGTGGTGGGTTCCAAAGAAACTGCCAGGCACGTTTAGACTTGCAGCCTTGCATTAGCCCGTTTTTAGCTTCTGTGAACTTGATGCTTTAACCTGCTCTACGTGCATACGCTAGGCACACCCTGTTCTGGACAACCTCATAATACCCTTGAGTCGCCCTGCGTTTCTGCCTCCCTTGTCACCTCCCCACACCCTTTGGTAGGAGTCCTCCTCCTCCTGTCTCTGAGATCTTTTCTTAAGGATTACCTTAGCATGCCTGCTGGACTCTCTTTGGAGGAGGACACGGTGTCTCTACCAAACCTTCCCATTGCCCCTATTGCACTTCCTCTTTTTTGTCCTTCCTAAGGCCCCTCCCTGGCCCTTCTCAATCTCAGACCCCATGTAGTCAGTCTCATTTATTCTCCTAGTAATTGTCCTCATCACTAGCCTTTCCTCCTCACAGAGTGGTCTTCATCAAAATGTAGACTGTATTTTATTTTATTTATTTATTTATTTTTAAGGTGGAGTCTTGCTTTCTAGCCCAGACTGGAATGCAGTGATGCGATCTCGGCTCACCACAACCTCCGCCTCTCAGGTTCAAGCAATTCCCCTTCCTCAGCCTCCCGAGTAGCTGGGATTACAGGGACTCACCACCACGCCCTGCTAATTTTTTGTATTTTTAGTAGAGACGGGGTTTCACCATGTCGCTCAGGCTGTTCTCGAACTCCTGACCTCAAATAATCTGCCCGCCTCAGCCTCTCAAAGTGCCAGGATTACAGGCATGAGCCACCACGCCCGGCCAATACTGTATTTTAATAGGTTTCATTATTATTTAGGGATGGCATGACCAATGGTCTTAGGCCACTCCAGCTGCTGTAATAAAAATAGCATAGACTGGGTAGCTTAACATTTATTTCTCACAGTCCTGGAAGCTGGGAATCTAAGATGAAGTTACCAGCAAATTTGGTATGTGGTGAAGGCCTGCTTTATGATTCACAGATGACTGTTTTCTCACTGTGTCTTCATGAGTCAGAAGGAGTGAGAAATCTCTCTGGAGTCTCTTTTGTAAAGGACACTAACCCCATTCATGAGGTCTCTACCCTCATGACTTAATCACCTCCTAAAGGTCCCACCTCCTAAGACCATCACACTGGGGGTCTAGATTTCAACATATAAATTTGGGGGGAACAAAAGCATTTAGAGCACCAGAGGACCAACAGATCAAGAGATGACAGCCATTGGAAGGCAGTCTGCTATACTCCCAGATCCCGGGAAAGGGAGGGCACATCATGCCACAGGCCACACAGGGAGGCACTGGGAGGAGGCTGGAGGCAGAGAAGGGATGCTGTGGGTGAGATTCTCTACTGTGGCTCCTGCAGGAAGGAACAGGCGTGCAGGAGAAGCAGGTGTAGGACTGGCTGGTTTGAATGATTTCAGTGACTCTGGGGCACAGGGGCTATCTCTAGTTGTCTAGTTCTTGACCCAGAGGTGTTTTGGGCAGGTGGACAGGGGCCCAGAGTGTGAGAGCCTGGTAGAGAAGGTGCTTAGGGGTGTGAGCTGTGGATTGGTTGGTTTTGTGCATTTGAAAAAAACTGTGCATTTGAAAAATGTGCCCTAGGAGGAGGAACACGGTCTTCTTTACATTTTGATGAAGACCACTCTGTGAGGAGGAAAGGCTAGTGATGAGGACAATTACTAGGAGAATAAATGAGACTGACTACATGGGGGCTGGGATTGAGAAGGGCCAAGGAGGAGCCTTAGGAGGGACAAAAAAGAGGAAGTGCAATAGAGGCAATGGTAAGGTTTGGTAGAGACACCATGTCCTCCTCCAAAGAGAGTCCCATAGGCACGCTAAGGTATATGTAAGAAAAGATCTCAGAGACAGGCAAGAATAAAAGCTGCCTATGCAAAAGATATACATCGAGGAAAATTAGAGAGAAAGAGCCCATCAGGAAGAAATCCATTCCCTCAGTGCAAGGATTCCAGTGCTGTAGGGGAAATTACTCTAGCAAACATGCCTGCCCTGCATTTCCAGGAAGTTCCCCAAGGTGAAGGCTCAGGCTTGTTTCTGTTTTCTTTTCTAAGGTTTTGGAACGGCTCTGTCTAGACAGATCACACAGAGCACCTGCTGTCGTACGTTCTATGTGAGGTGACTCTGGCAGGAAAGGCCCTGGTCTCCCATGTCCCTGTGTCCCTGGACCCCAGCCCAGGGGTGGCGGTGGGGCTATCTGTTCTGAATGGGCATGTCTGGGGTTTGCCAGGTCTCAACCCTAATGGGCCATGTTGTGTCTCTTACTTACTCTTAGCATGGGGCTTTCTAGATCCTGTCTCCTTCATTGGTGAGCAAAGCCTCCATGTTGGCTGACAAATCTCAGGGGGCTCATTAAGAGCTTTTGGGGTACTCTTCAATGAGCATTCCCCATCCCCACTCTGTTCAGCTCCACTCCATCTATTTTGCCTTCTGTTTATAGCAGGGGCCCCAGTTTAAACCTAAGCTTTGAGCAGCAGGATCTGACATGGATGGTGGGTTAATTAATTTGCATGAGTCCATTCAGCTAAAGAATTTACTCTTTGACTCAATTTCTCCTCCAGCTGTGCTCCTGCTCCATCTCAGAAAATGATACCAACCTTCACTCAGGTCATCAGATCATCCCTGCCTTCTTTCTTTCTCACATCCAATTCATCAGGAAGTCTAGTCAGCTCGGCATTCAAAGGATCCCTCAATTCACCCATGAATCACCTCCTTCACTGTTGTTACCCTTGGCCAAACAGCCACCCTGTCTTGTCTAGAACACTGTCTGTCTCTCTGCTTCCACTCTCTTTTTAGTAACAGGGTCTCACTCTGCTACCCAGGCTGGAGTGCACTGGCAAACTAACTACAACCTTGACCTCCCAGGCTCAAGTGATTCTCCCACCTCAGCCTTCCAACTATTTCTACTCTGCAGGTCATTATTTTAATTAACACAGAAGCCAGAGTGACCTTGTACAATTTGAAATCAGATTATGTAAAACTGCAACTCGAAACCCTCTGTCTTACCAACATACTTGAGATAAAATTCAAACCCTTCAAACTGCCTGGCCTCTGTCCATCTCTCCACTTGCCTTCCTACCACTATCTTCACACCCCTCTGAAATGGGAGAGTTCCCTGACCCCCTCGCAGGATGTGTGACAGGGGTGTGGCTTGTCTGTTTGGGTGGCTGCTGCACTGTGTGCTGAACCCCTTACAGGAAGGGGAACACACAGACAGGCAGGAGCAGGAGCCAGGGCGAGTGCTTTTGGGCTCTGGCCTCATGGTAGTGTCTACAGGTTGGTGCCTGTGACTCTTGAAGCCTGAGTGGGTGTACTACAGTGCTCTTTCAACTCTGCCGTCTGCAGACAACTTAAGTGTTAACCAGCTCATTGCCTGGTTGGTACTTGGGTTTTTGTTTAGTGTCCAGAAAGAATCAGGTCACACACAGACTCGAAAGATTGTGAATGTGGGGATTTTATTGCCAGATGGAGGTGGCTCTCAGCAGGATGGGTGGGGAGCTAGAAAGGGGATGGGGTGGAAAGATGATCTTCCCCTGGAGTTTGGCTGTCCCATGGCTGATGTCCTCTCCAACCATCCCCAGCTGAACTCTTCTCAACGTTCAGATGCTCCTTCTCTTCTCTCCTTCTTTGCAGTGCCACTCTCCTGTTCCTCTGCTCTTATGTTCGTCTGCTCATCTGCTTATGGAGCCTGGGGTTTGAGGTTTATATGGGTACAGAATAGGGGGTTGTGCTGTGCCAAAAGGCAACATTTGGGCTCAAAAACAGGAATACCTATTCCCATTTAGGGCCACAGGTTTCTAGGCTTGGGGATGGGGGCTTTGCTGGGGAACTGCCCTCTTCTACCTAGTATTTCCCTGTCCATATCACCTCCACTCCAGCCACACTGGCCTTGCTGCTTCTCTAAAAGGTCACGTTCACTGCCATCTTGGGTCCTTTGCACTTGCTTTCTTGTTTGGAAAGTTCTTCTTTTAGATCTTCACTCAGATGTCTTTTAAGACATTACCCCTCAGACAGGTCTTCCCTTATGATGTGGGTTCACATAGAACCTTCTTCCCTGGTCATTCCCTTGCTTTGTTCTTTCCACATAAAATGCATGCATGTGTTAATAGGTTGCTGTTTCTCCTCTTACCAGAGTGTACATGCTGCAAGGTCAAGATTTGTCTGCATTGCTCATTGCTATATCCTAGAGTTTTGAACTGCATCAGTCAGCATCCCAGCAATGTTCAACTCTTGCTCTAGGTTCTTCCTGGCAAATCCGTAAGTTGCCAAAGTTGTGTTAAAATTCATTCAGGGGCAGAGATTGAAATCTCTTAAAAACAGTACAACTGATTATGCTACACAAGAAAAGGGGAAGGAGCTGTGTGAAGTTTAGAGGCACACAAAGGCAGGGACTGAGCTGGCCTCCTCTTCAGGAGTGTTGTAAATGGCTGTGCATGGAGGGAAATGGCTTGGACGGATCAAGGCAGGGGTGGCAGCAGGCAGTCCTAGGGCTGGCTCGCTGGGAGGCAGCCTGGGGTAGGAGATGAAAAGTCTTTCTCAGCAATGCCAGTTTGGACAGAGCTTTGCAGATTCCTGAAGTGTTCCAGCATGGGGCCAGGGAGGGCAGGTCAGGATGGTGGGGTGATGTGAGTTGGGAGATGTTAGAGGGAAACAAGACCAACAGTCTTCCAACAAGTAACAGAAGAATGTGGCAAAGTGAAAACAAAGGAGGCAGCTGCAATCACGTTATGGAATATTTCTATTAATTTGCAAATAAATCAATATTTTAGATTCCAAGAATTCTCAACACTCCTACTCTTTGGTGAGATGGGATGCCCCTAGAGCAGTGTCTCTCCAAGTGTAGTCCTCAGACTTCAGATAGCAAAATCAGCCTCACTTGGGAACTTCTTATAAAAGCAAATTCTCAAGCTCCACCCCAGACTTCTGAATGAGAAACCCTGGAGGAAGGGCCCAGAAATCTGTGTTTCTACAAGCCCACCAGAGGATTCTGGTGCACACTGAAGTTTGGAAACCAGTGCTCCAGAGTAGGCCTTCTCAGACGTTAAGGTACATGGGAATCACCAGGTGATCTTGTTAAATAAAAATACAAATTCTGATCAGTAAGTCTGGGCTGGGGCAGAGATTCTACATTTCTTTCTTTTTTTTTTTTTGAGAGGAAGTCTCACTCTGTCACCCAGGCTGGAGGGTCTGCATTTCTAACAACTGCCCAGATGCCACTGATGCTGCTGGACCACAGAGACCACAAAGTGAGGGTCTGTGATCAGAACAAGACCAAGAGTTCATGACCTGTGTCATGGGCTTTGTGGGAGCTTTTCTACATGGCAGGGAGGGAATAGAGGCTAAGTATAACCTCCTCTAGGAATCCCTTGTGGGGTGATGAGGGCTGGACTGCAGGTCTTGATACTGCTTTCTGGTCTGAGGGCAGGTGGGAGAGGGGCTGAGTTGGTGGTAGTAGAGTTAAGAGCAGCCACATCTGGAAAACATTTGCTAGATCTGGCCTTGTGGGGAAGGACCCTGGAGTACTTCCACTCAAATTCCTTCTGGGGGTTTCCATGCATGCATCAGTTTCATGCTCTAGACTGTGATTTGAAGTTTCTTTCTTTCCTGGGGGGTATAGAGGAAGATGGGAGGAGGCAAACAAAAACAAAAATCAAAACGTTTGGAGGGAAATTGGCTTGAGAATCTCACAAAAGATGTTTGTTATATTTAATTGGAAAGGAAAGGGTTTAAGGTGGAAATAGGTGGCCAGAGTCAGATTATTTTTATTTCTGATCTAATTAGTTGCTTAATGTAGTACTAAACATGAACAAGCCTTAGTAAAGCAAAATGGAAAGACTTCTAGGCAAGACTGAAATCCACATTGCATTTTCTTTTGACCAGGAGATTTTCTTTGCAGTTGAATAGGAAAGCAAATTAGACTGGATGGTCTGGTATTAACCCCAATTTGGATGGACAAGAGACTCCTTGAACTTCAGTGCATAACCAAAGAATGAACTTGAAGTAGCTGAGGATATCTGACTCCCTCTGTAACTGCAGAAAGAGAATTGCTGTGTAAATGGGTTTATGATCATATGGCAGAGAGAATGTTCATTCAGTGTTTAGTGCTATGTTTGAAAACAAGAAAGTTTTTTTGCTTTCTCCATTCTGGTGAAAGTTAAGTATGTGCTTTCTTCTTTAAATGAAAAGCAAAGGCAAGAGTGTTGCTCTTTTACCTTCAATTTTTATGACACTGGAATCTCTCAGACTCCTGAATTATACAAGTCTAGAAGGAACACAGGTTATTCTTTAGGCTAACTTAATACAAATTAATAAGAGTTGCTTAAATTTATGTCATGTATGTCAGTCTTATGGGACCTTTGCCTTTAAAGTACTACAATTATTGTTCAATAAAACAATATTAAGGGGTCTGACTTCAGCTAGGAGAGTTCTCAAAACATCTAAGTGGAGAGCTACAATTCCTGGAATAAGATGACCTTCCTTTTCTTTGCTTTTGAGTATGTCTCAAAAATTAGATATGACATCATACTTAATGTGAGAGGCTAGATGCTTCCTCGCTAAGATCAGGAGCAAGACAAGAACATCTGCTTTCACCAATTCCATTCAACATTATATCAGATGCCTTAGCTAGGTCATCTGGACAAGAAAAATAAATAAAAAACATCAGATTGGAAAGGAAGAAATAAAACTGTTTCTTTCTTTTTCTTTTTTTTTTTTTGAGATGGAGTTTCACTCTTGTTGCCCAGGCTGGAGTGCAATGGCATAATCTCAGCTCACTGCAATCTCCGCCTCCCGGGTTCAAGTGATCCTCCTGCCTCAGCCTCCCGAGTAGCTGGAATTACAGGTGCCCGCCACCACACCTGGCTAAGTTTTGTATTTTTAGTAGCGACAGGGTTTCCCCGCATTAGCCACAATGGTTTCAATCTCCTGACCTCATGATCTGCCTGCCTCGACCTCCCAAAGTGCTGGGATTGCAGGCATGAGACACTGCGCCCAGCCTAAAACTATTTTTATTCACAGATGATATGATCTTGTATATGGTAAATGTTAAGAATTCATGAAATAACTCTTCAAACTAATCAATCAGGTCAGCCAAGTTGCAGGATACAAGATGAGCAATAAAATTAACTGTTTTTCTACACACTGGCAATGAGTAATTTGAAAAGGAAATTGAGAAAACAATTCAATTTAAAATAGCATCAAAATGAATACTATACCCAGGAGTAAATTTATCAAAAGAAGTTCAAGACTTGTACATGAAAAACTTACAAGACACTGTTGAAAGAAATTCAGCATCTGAATACATAGATACCTCATGTTCATGGATTAGAAGACTTAATATTGTTAAGATAGCAATGCTTCCCAAATTAATCTACAGATTCAATGTGTTCCCTATAAAAATCCAAATAGCTTTTTTTTTGGAGAAATAGAAAAGCTGATCATAAAATTCATATGGAAATGTAAGAAACCAAGAAGAGCCAAAACAATTGTGAAGAAGACAACATTGCGGGACTCACACTTCTGACCTTCAACATTTGCTACAAAGCTACAGTAATCAAGACATAGTGCTGGCATAAAGATAGATATAAATATCAATGCAATAGAATTGAGAGTCTAGAAACAAAACACTTACATTTATGGTTGATTGATGTTCAACAGGATGCTAAGACAATTCAACATATAGTAATAGTCTTTTCGACAAATGACATTGGGACAACTATATATCCATATGCAAAAGAATGAAACTGGATTAACTTTATATTGTGAAATTAAATCAAATGGATAAAAGATAAACACTTAAGAGCTAAAAGTGTAAAACTCTTAGAAAAAAGCAGTAGTGAATTTTGATAATCTTGGATTAAGCAGTGATTTCTAAGATTTGGCACCAAAATTGAAAGCAACCAAAGGAGAAACAGCTGAGTTGAATTACATCATAATTAAGCAAATTTTGTAATAAAGTGATAAAATCGAGAAAGTGAAAATACAATATACAGAATGAAAAAGGATTGCAAATTATGTATCTGATAAGGGACCTGTATCTGGAATATATAAAGAAATTTTAAAACTGAATAATAAAAAGAAAGCCCAATTAAAAAGTGGGCAAAGGATTTGCATAAACATTTCTCCAAAGAAGATATTCAGCCAATAAGCACATAAAAATACCCATTATTATTAATAATTAGAGAAATTGAAATTAAAACCATAATGAGACACTACTTGACATACACTAGGTTGACTGTTATAGAAAAGACAGACAAGAACAAATATTCACAAGATGCAGAGAAATTGGAACCCTCATAAATTTGTTGGAGGGAATGTAAAATGGTGCAGCCATTTTGGAAACAGCTTGGCAATGGAGAATTATCATGTGACTGAGCAACTTTACTCCTAGGTTTCTATCTAAGAGAAATGAAAACATCCAACCCCAAAAGACTTGTACATGAAAATTCATAGCATCATATATGAATGTTCGTAACAATGTTTGGTTATTATGAATAATAATATCCAATAATAATTATTATGAATAATAACCAAACATTGGGGACCACCTTAAATTGATAAATGCATAAATAAAATAAAATGTGCTATATCTGTACAATGAGATATTGTCCTGAAATGAAATGAAGTTTTGACACATGGTATGACATAGGTGAAACTTGAAAAGTGAAAAAGGCCAGAAGCCAGCTGCAAAACCCTCACATATTTCATGATTCCAATAATATGAAATGTTTGAAATACACAAATCTGTATCTAGAGGAAGTAGATTAGTGGTGACTCAGGCTGTGGAGGAGAGAGTTGGGGGGAATAAGGGGGGACTGCTAGTGTGATGGCTGTGGCATTTCCTTTGGGGTGATGAAAACATTCTAAACTTAGATTGTGGTAATGGTCACACATATCTGTGAAGATGCTAAAACCATCGAAATGTCCAGTTTAAACAGGTGAATTCCTTGATATGTGAGTTATATCTTAATAAACATATTTAAGAATAAATAGGATTTTAAGTATGGAAATCTAAGTTGTGTGCTACATAATAATTTTCTCTTCCTATTTCTCCTTGTTTGGTTGATATTAAAATGAATGTATGATTATTTTTTCGACCTATAGGTGGCCAATCACATATGGTTAGTTCCCTTTCTTATGCAGAGCTTCATTGTGTGTAGGCAAAGACCAGATCACTACAGAGTGAAGAGGAAAAAGTTATATTCCCTAAACACTGAAAGCCTGATTGCGGTATGTGCCTAGTGCTTGGTGCTCCAAAATAAAAGAGGCTTCCTGTCTTAAAAACTTTTTTTCTTTATTTATTATCTAATGTATTGATTAGGTCTAATCGACAATGAAAACTTGATAATCTAATACAGGATGGTAAATGGAGTTTTACAAATAGTAAATAAGAATAAGAATAAGAAAGTTTTATTCTAAGTCTTATTATAAGAAATAGAATAAGACTCAGCTTTGGAATGTTGTAAAGATGAGGTGTGTCTCATTCCATGGACATGTTTCACTGAAGAGGCAGAGTAATAATAACTCAGTAAAAATCACTGCAAACATTTGTGCTACTCTTTTTCTAGTTTGCATGGCCCCTTGCCTAGCCATTACCATTGCTTTGCTTAATGCTCCCAGCATCCTATGTGAGGTAAATATTGCTACATCCAATGTAAAGAAGAGGCAAGGGTGGTTATGCACCAAGATCCCCTACTTCAAACTCTGGGCCACTACTGGAGGTCAGTGATTCTGTGAGATTTTACATGGAATAATTTTGGAGAATACTTGGAAGACAATTTTTTTAAAAAAGCAAATAGGAAAAACCTTACTGAGGGAGTAAATTCAGGCAGCCCAGCCAATCTCTAGAAAATGGGTAAGACATTCCTCTGTAAATTGTAACACCATCACTGAAGCACCTCACAGTAGAGACAAAGAGCTTCATCGATTTGGACATCTACTTAAAGGCTCATTTTGCTCAATGCGCAGCCTTTGTTAAGTTTGTTATTTTTCTCACCACAGAGAGAAAGCAATAATTGAAATTGCTACTTGGTTTTAAATCTGAATCATAACATAGATTCGGGTGGTATCTGGAAATAATGGGAACTGTAGAAAAGTGTGAAAAGGTTATCACTGAATGATTCTGCCCAGAAATGGATGTGTTAGGCATCAGACTTAACTTGGAGTTTGGGAAAGTAGTTTCAAAAAAGTCAGTAAAAAGTTGGATAATTCCATAGCCAGAGACTCAAAAGGGTAGATGCCCAAGAGGTATGGAAAGTTCTGACAGGCAAAATTCTGACCTTTAAACTTGAAGAGTGAAAAAAGAGAAAAAGACTCGAGAAAGCAGCAGGTTTTCCCAGGGTGCTCTTTGAGAAACTGGGAAAGGACTTAGCCTAAAAGGTGGAAGGAGGGTCCCAAAATTGTGGCTATAAAATCCTGGCATGTTCTCTGATAATAACGCCAGCTAAGCACAGCATCAGAGTGGGCTGAAGTTTTCTAAAAATACCAGAGAAATTTAAAAAGAGACATTTTTAAAAGCGTTGATTGAAAACAAGAAATTATGGCGCTCGTAACAAGGACAATAGAGGTGTAAAGAGACCTCTAAAACAGCACCACTCTTCTCCTGCCCAAGTCCGTATTCTCCACAAAAGGGAAAGAACTTTAAAAGCAACGGGTGCCCAGACCCAGTGGAGATGAGACCACCAGAAACTCAGCACACATAGCTAAGGAGCATTTCGACCCTAACTGAGGTGGATGCATGGAGGAAATGAGAAAAGAAGTAAATAAGCAAATAAATAATACAAAAGTAAGTGTGTTTGTTAACTGGCAATTCAATATGAGGCTACAGCACAATGACGTAACCACATAATGAGTGGGTTTGAAAAACAGTCAAAACTGCGGCTTTGTTAGTAGACTGAGAGTGTTGAAAGTAGAACAGGCAGTCTTACCCTTCAGTGCTGGCTAGACCACATTTAGAGTGTTGTGTTCCATTCTGTGGCCCACACTTCAAGAGGGGACACAAGAAACTGGAGCACATTATTCTTCTTGGAATGGAGAAGGAGTTGAGGGTAGATAGACAAAATGGTGTCGAGTCCCTTCTAATGCTATGATGGAAGAACGCTTGAAAATTCCCTTCCTAGCACTGTGCACCTCCCAAGCCCTAGCAAAGTAACTGCCTTTCCTCCAGGAATGCTCTTTGCTAAAGGGGAGCGACGCAGCTCTTTCATGTGAAGGTAGGAGCAGCATCTGGCCTGGACTCTCCTGGGAGACAGCAATGTAGCAGGTGTGAGAGCGTCAAAGCAAAGCCACCATGACTGTGGTGCTGCTGAGGACCTGAGGCAAGTCCCTTTCTTCTGCACCTCATTTTGCTCAATTGCAAAGTGCGGAGAATATGTAGGGAATTTAGTCCAGTGGTTGACATGTGGAAAACCACCAGAAACACGCATGGAGATGTTTAATTTTGGAAAGAGTCTACCCTGAGCTAGTCCAGCAGCACCAGTCATCCTTCTTCCTACAGTCCTATCTGTACTCCACGCCTTTCAGAAATACCATCCCATTTGGGATAGGCCAATGCATCCCGAAGAAAATGGCGAAAGGACGGATCAAGGGTACCGTCTGCTACTTACTAAGCAATTTCAGATTCCAGTTCTGCATTCACTTTTCTCAAGGTTGGATTCATTCCCCACTGCTACCGAAACAGAGACAATGGAGGTATTCTCCGCTCCTAATCACCCCCTTGGTCTCAATATTGATATTTAATAGGGTCATGTGGGCTGCAGGGGGCTTGGCTCTCAAGTCCTCAGGGTTACCAAGATTCACGGAGGCAGGGCTGGAATTTCGAAACACTCAGTTCTGACCCAAGCGCTAAAATGGCAAGGACCTTCCTGACTACTATTAATAATTGGTCCCTGTGCCCAGCAGAGTCTGACGGCACCCTGGCGCCAGGGCCTGGGGTGGCAGTGCGCCGTGCCAGACCCGGCAGGGCCTGGACCTAGTGGGGTCCGGGAAGGGCTGAGCGTGAACCATTCCCGCTTCTGCGCTCGGGCGCCCAGCACACCAACCCGCTCAAAGTAGAAGGGCCTGCTGGGGCTCTCGGACGCCAAAAACATGTTAGAGAGTAGCATTTTAATGAACTGAGTGTAAATGCATTAAAAACACATGGAATTAATGCTCCTTGAAATAAACATAGGCTTAAAAAAACGAGGAAAGCAAATGTTTTGGCAAAACACATTTTGGGTTTTTTGAACCCCAAATATTTGAAAACTATTCATGCAATCTTAATCCAGAGTGCCATTTAGCTCTCCTGTGGTGACGAATAATATGAAAGTAGGAAAATTCAGCGTCTTTCTCTATATTCGTGGGATTTCCACAAAGACACAGACCAACAGGAAGGCTTTCAGGGAACAGTTTAAAAAATACTTAGGAAATGCAGGTTTCGGTGTTTGAAAAGAAATGACAGGAGGTAAACGTGTGTTATTTGATTGATGGAAGGCAAAGGAGTAAACAGCTGACATATTATTAATTTGAACGCTGAGGTGCAGCACTAACCAAACACTGAAACTTAATGCGTATGACTCAAAAAGCCACAATCTTATTTAAAAAGAATAAAAATATGAAAAAACCCTCTCTCAATACATTTTGAAATCCTGTATTTATGTATGGGACTTGACAAGAAAGTAAAACTGAAATAGGAGAGTTCCCTGATCCCCCTTGCAGGACGTGCTCACCTGCCTATAGGACAGGCTCACTTGCCTATCAAACCCCTAGCTGGAGGGGGAGCATGCAGACAGGCAGGTGCAGAGGCAGGGGGAGTGCTTTGGGCTCTGGCCCCGTGGTAGTGTCTAGGGGTGGGTGCTTGCAACCCCAGAGTTACAAAGCTCTTTCAGCTTTGCTATCTACAGATGGCTTGAGTGTTAGCCAGCTCAATGGACCCTCTGCTTTTTTGCAAAGGCAGAAGACCAGTGTGACAGCTTTCTGTATCCTGAGCTCTTGCCCAGCATCCTGGAAAAATTGGGTCACACTCAGGCTTGAAGGGTGAATGTGAGGTTTTATTGAGTGGTGGAGGTGGCTTTCAGTGGAATGGATGGGGAACCGAAAGCGGGGGTTGGAGTGGGATGGTAATCTTCCCCTGGAGTCAGGCCACCCAGTGGCTGGACTCCTCTCTAACCAACCCAGCCAGACTCCTCTCGGCATTCAGACGATCCTCCTCTTCTGTCTTTCTCTGTTGTGTTGTTCCACCATCCCTCTGCTGGTCTGCTGGCTTGATGGTCGGCTTCTGGAGCCTGGGGTTCGGGATGTATATGGGTGCAGCATAGGGGGTGTGGCAGGCCAAAAGGCAACTTTTTGGGCGTGAAAACAGGAATGCCTGTCCTCATTTAAGACCATGGGTCTTCAGGCTTGAAGGTAGGGCCTTTGCTGGGGAACTGGCCTCTTCTACCCAGTATTTTCCTGTTTCCTGTCTGTATCAAAACTACCTGGAAGGCTGAGGGCACTCAGGCCAGGAGCACACCCACCTGCCATATGCCCCACCTGGGCCTGTACCTTGACCACCAGGCCCAAGAAAGATAGACCCCTTCAACCCTCTCCACCACCTGTTTGGAGTGCTCACTGACAACTGACATTCCTAACCCACTCCTAGTGCCAGATCCAGTCCTGGAAATCTGACAGTTTGAGCTTCATCACCCTAAGGTCCTTCAGCTGTCCTCCAGCTGCCCCCTCTATTTCCCCACCTCTCTAGGAACTGATTTCCCAATAGGCACGTGCTCTCAGATGGCTGTTGGCTCAGGTGTTAGCTAATAAGCAAGGTGTTTGCTGACAAGGGCTTAACGCCTCCCAGAGGCATTTGCATTTTAATAGGGATTGTTACAAGAATTCAACCCCCAAAGGAATGAAGTTATGATGGTAAAATGCCAGGAACCCATGTGGATATTTCAGAGCAGGGAGCCCTCTCCTTGGATCCTAACACCTGGTTAGCTAGCCCTGTCTATAGCTCTCTGGAGTGGAACATGAGATCATTTCTCTTCACCCTGCGGGGGCTGGCAATCAGCTCACAAAGTGAGGTAGCCATCTTTAAACAGCAGGATCCAGAGTCCCAGAAATCTTGACTCAGCCAGATGGGATGTCAGAGGAAGCTTCTGAAGAACTGGAGACCAGTTACAGCAAGCCGCTATGGAACATCTCTAGGCCAGATTCGGTGTTATCTTAAAGGTACCAGTTTCTAAGCAGTTGCTGACCTCAGGGAACTCCCTGTTTAGTGGAGGATGGGCCCTCTCAACGAAGATACAGGAGCACAAAGAGGGAGAAGGGGTTTCTGCAGTTGGCTGGGGGAGCTCTCATCTTTCTCCCCGCACAAGCTATTCACCACGCCACTGCTCCGTCTCATCTCTGCTCCTTGCATCTTGCTCCCCGCCACGTTATGCACATTTGGGGCCTTTTTAAAGTTATAAAACTAAGGTAACTTTATTTTAGAAGTTTTCAAATTACAGAAAAGCACAAAGCAGGAGGTAAAAATCCATAATATCACCATCCCTAGGATCACAGGGTTAACTACTATTTTATGTTCTTCTAATCTTTAATCTACACTTGGGGATCTATTTTTTATAAGCTAAAGATCATAAATATATCATTAATACAAATATATTAAATTCTTATAATTTGTAAAAGTCCCATATTGTTAAACACACTTTGAAAATGTATGTTTTTATACATATTCCATATTATGAAAGGTGATGATCCATCTTACAAAGGGTAATAATTAACAAAGAACTTTGTGATATGTTTAGGTTTTAGCAAAATGTCTTTAATTCTTTATTAAATAGTCAAGCTCATGGGGAAGGAAATCGTAAAACTGTAAAAATATTAAACACAGGAGCTTGTATTGAGCAATATATAACATTTTAGGATGATGCATCTCTTAAAGAAGGTTTGATAATGTTGCATTTTCATTGAAATTAACTCATAGAAATGTGAAACATTATCATTTTTCATTCCAGCCATTGTTTTGTAATTTCTATTACCTAAAGTGTAAATTAACCTTGAGGTTAATTTAGGTTAGAGGTCTGTATTGCATAATAGAGAAAAACCAACAAGTCTTATTATTTCTAGGAGAATTTAGTATCTTTTTTCCCTCAAATGTCAGAATCTTAGGGAACAATGAGGGAACATATTTTGCTAGCAAAAAGTGTATTTGCTTTGAGATTTTTTTCCCCTTTGGCTTAACATATCTGGCAACAAGCATCTTACACGAATTTATTTTCTTAAAGGGAAACTCACACTTCTGTAACAAATACATGTTTTTCTTCTGGAAGAGGAGCTTTCTTGCTACTGCCCATAGTATGTATGGGTATAGCCAGCCACTTGTCTAAGACAAAGCTTATTGTACAAACTATATGTTTAGAAAACATACTTTGACTCTTCATGGTATCTCAGTATCTCAACCATGACTATAAACAAGAATCACCTGGAAAGCCTGTTAAAATGTCCCAGGCCTTACATTCCAACTCATTATTGGGGTGGAGAATAGGAGGCAGGGGTCCTCATTTTTAAGAAGCCACACAGGGGATTCTAATGTCCGAGGGCCACACTTTGAGAAACACTGCCCTGCTGAATAAAAGCCCAACTCCTTAGCATGGGATCCAAGTCCCTCCTTAATCTCATTCCTATCAGGCCCATCTCCCAACACTAGACCCAGCCATTCTTTGTCACACTGATGGCTCATTCTTCCCTAACACAGCATTCTACTCCATGCCTTCATCCCTTTGGTCAAGTAGTGTAGCTGTCTTTTCCTTTCTGGTCTTAAGAACAAGTAATTCTTGTTCTTAAGAATTTTCCTGCTAATTGGTGCATATCATCCTATTGTGTGCCTAGTGGTTTCCTAGTGCTGTTCTAAGCAATATATATGTGTGTGTGTAAATATGTATATTTATATAAAAATAAATTTGCTTATATATAAACTTATAATTTATATAAAATTATATAAATAACCTATAAATCATACATAATTTCCATATAAATGTATAATATATAATTATATTATATAAAATATATATTATATATAATTTACATATGAGAATTTATATAATATAATTTATATGTTCACATATATTATGTATAAATGTATATGTTAATATATGTAATTATATACAATTTTAAAATATATAATATAAAACAATATTATATAAAAATTATACTATATACATTATAAATTTATTTATATATCTTTATAAATATTAAGTATTAAAATATTGATAAATTAAAATATTAAACATTAAATATTTATGTAGAAATTTATATATAAATATATATACACATACACATATAAAAATTTATTTCATCCTTCCCACCTCTCTATTAATATATTATCATTCCTATATTGCAGCTTAATAAACTATGGCTGAATTAAATGAGTAAAGAGATGAATGAATATTATGAATATTTGTTCAATGTAAAAACAGCTGGAGTAGTGGAGGGGAACAGACCCCACATCCTAGGCCTGAGACTCGGGGGACATGGGAAATGACTGTTCACATTTCATAGGAATACGAAGATAATGGGTGCTATGGTCTGCATGCGTGTTCCCCAAAATTCATGTGTTGAAATCCTCATCCACAAATTGATGATATTAAGAGATGGGGCCTTTTTGGGACATGATTGGGTCATGGGAGGAGACCCGCCCTAAATGGAATGAGTGTCCTTATAAAAGAAGCAGGAAGTGTTTGTGTCTTCCACCACAAGGACACAGTGACAAGGTGCCATCTGCGAACCAGGAAGTGAGTCCTCACTAGACACTGAGTATGCTGGCATCTTAATCTTGGACTTCTAAGCTTCCAAAACTGTGAATAAATTTCTGTTGTTTATAAGCCATCCTATTTATGGTATTTGTCCAAAAGAACTGTGATAACGGGATGCTGATCATTCAGAATTTGAAAGAAAAGTATTTTAAAAACATCTGTCTCAATTTTTTGTACATATTATGTTGAAATTACAGCATAGCAATGCAAATCTTTTTATAATTTTTCACACCTACTCAAAAATATGCTATGGAGACCTTCATTTATGGGCATAAAATATGCTGCTTCCTAAGGCTGTCCTGCAGGGGAGGCTTTTCTTCTGGCCCTGTACTGCTCTTTAGTCAAGCCTCTCTGTGTGCCTCTCAGTTCCTCAGACACATCATTTTCTCTCTACCTCAGAGCCCTGACACGTGTGGGCCTCCTGTGTAGAGGCTTTCTTCTTGCTTAGTTTCAACTTGTCTTGCAAAGCCCAGATCAGATGGCCCCACCCCTAACATTTTTAGGGCTGGAAGCAAGAATGCAAATGGAAACACATGCTATAGACAGAATTTAGACTTCTCAGATTCCATGCAGTTTCACATGGGAGTGCTGTGGTGTAAGAACAGGGACTCCTGACTTGTGGCCGAAGCCTCATCTTTCTACTTTCCCCATCCTTGGCTCCTCTCATCATGAAAGGAAGAGCTTGTGAATATCCCAGTGTGTACGTCAAAATCCACACATACACACATTGCAAGCAAACTCTCTTGGTCATCACCCTGAAGCCTTGGGGTGTACCTATTTGTCTTAGTTCCCACTGGCATGATAGACCCAGGGAAGAGGCTTGAGGTGCTTTCAGTAATTCAGAGGTACAGGGCACCCCGAGCCTGGTCTAGAATGGAGGTGTGGGCTTCTTTGAAGTGCTGGTTGTGGTGACTCTTGCCTGGGGCCATGGGTGGCACTAAGCTCAAACATCCATTTCTCCAAGTTTAATCTTCCAGATAAACTTTCATACTTCTCTTTGAAGTACTTAATAAGGAGAACTCATTCAAAGTTTAATGAGTTATTGTTCAAACTGGTGGTATAAGGTCTGACTCCATTGCAAAAAAATCATTTCACAAGGGCGGAGCTGAATCTTGTCTTGTTCACTTCTGTTTTTTCTGTTGTCCAAAACAGTGTCTGGCAAACAAATGGTGCTCATCATATATTTGTTGAATGGATTAATGAAAGTCCGCTGAGACTTCTAGAAATAGTTTGGGTCTCTCAAAAATATTTTTAAAACTCTGCTTGGCTTTTTCTTATATATCTGCATTATTATCAACATTAGCAGCTTTACAGACTAAAAGTTTAAATATCACAGAAGATTTTCTAGCACTTTGGATCTAAAGATAAAGTCCTCAGTGGGAACTGCAGGGATAAAGGATTTAGGTAAGATTCCCAGGCACAGGCCCATACAAATATGTGTGGTGTAAATCCTATAACAGAATACCAATATTATATACAGAACCTTTTCTTTGTGGCAAATTACAAAGTTAGCATTAAAAAAATCAAACTGGAGGTGAAAAAAATAACATCTATCCTTCACAGGACTGCGTGCAATTCTACTTGGAGATCTTCATAACACCTTAAGGGAAAAATCCTTTTTGAAAGAAAAACAAGTCTGGGTGGTGCTTGAAAATTCAGAAGGCAGCTAGAAACTCTGCCAATTACAACTGTAAGTAATAACACAGTATTAAATTTTATTTTCCATTTTTAAGACTGGATTTTTTAAAAGCAGCAGGTATGTGGAGTGATATTTCTAACAGATGTTTTGAAAAAAAATTAATAGTTTTATTTATCTTGGTTGGTATGAAAACTTTGACCTTCAAGGGTAAGGTTTTGATTCACTGAGAGATGGAATCCTTATGGACAGAGGCCTGAATGCCTCAGTTTTGGGTTTTAGTTATTTTCAAAGTTTTTGTCCTCTTTTTCCACCTTATTGATTAGTGGGCAAAAATTATCATCTAAATTTGAAATTCTGTTCTCACTTAAAGCTTATTCTGTAATTCTGAATAATCTAGAAAAGATAATATTGTCTATATATCGGTCTTCTCGCAAAAAACACTGAGAGATGACAAGGCCACTTCAGCCAGAAGCCACTGTATCTGGCCACAATTACTATCCTTATTTATTGAAAACTGTATTACAAGCCATGGAAATTCAAAGTGCTACAGAAACAAACACTCTTCCTTTAGAACCTGCTCAATTTCCCAGGAGCTTAACAGAACTCTATCTTATATTCTCTCTGGGAAAGATAAAATAGCAAACAACAAAACTCAAGGTCTAAAAATAAAACCAGTTAAATCAACTCACGGTGTAGCAGAACACTGCCACTCATCTGGTCACCTCTATAAGACTCACCTGTTTAACCCTGTAACCCAGAGTTTCTCAGCATTGGCACAGTCAACACTTTGGGCTGGTAAACCTCATTTAACTTCTCTTCTTTAACTCCTACTTTTTGTCATTGTGATAAATATGCGCAACATAGAATTGATCATTTTAACAATTTTTGAGTGACAGTTCAGTGGCTTTAAGTACACTTATATTGTTGTGCAACCATCACCGCCATCTAGCTCCAGAAATTTCTCATCTTCCCCAACTGAAACTCCATGCCATTAAATAATAACTCCCCCTCATATCCTGCCCCTAGTCCTGGGAACCACTTTTTTTTTTTTTTTAAATTCTAAAACTACCCACATCCTTGAGGCAAAAGTAAAGTGTGAAGGTGCATGAGTGTGCTCATATGTGTGTGAGTGTCATGATAATTTCATTAATTTAAAGGGCCAAGGACCAGGTACTTTCCTCCCCACGCATGAGTGTTCTGTGGGGATTAGAAGACCAGGCTGTACTATCAAACTGCCCAGCTTCAATCCTGCCCAAACCCATTGTTGACTAATGTGAGGGATGTTTCAGATCTGCCTGCCTCAGTTTCCTCATCTAAGCAGAGTTGGTTATAGTACTATCATGTAGAATTTGTGTGAGGATTAAGTGAGTTAAACACTAAGTACTAGGACTACCTCACACTCCATCAAGTTCAAATTCTGCACAACAGTGATCTCCAGATCAGTTGCTGATTTTGGCCAAAAGCCTCATGGCAGAACAGTTTGTTGCCATAGACATAGTAGATATTTAATCCCACTGTCTTCTCCTTGTTACAATGGATATCTAACTTGGAGTGTAATATGTTAGCTACAAGAATCTGGATTTCGTTTTCACACTCTGGGATCAGAAGACATAATCATGAGCAGACTTTGACTGCGACTCAAATGCATGCAGTGTATACAGACGCGATGGCTGCCAACTCAGCCAGGAGACCCGCGTTCTTGAATCAGATGTTTCTGTTGTCCTGCAGGTGCATAAATGCAAACCACAAACTTCACTGAGCTCCCCCTCTTCTCTCTCCATAGTGTGAGCCCCAGGCACATGCTTCCTCCCTATTCTCCACCCTCTAAATGCTGTTTCCCCTTCAACCATGTAATTTAAATAAATTAACATACAGCCTGAGAGATACTAAAAGTTGGTGATTATTATCTAACTTCAGATTTCACATATTTGAATGCTCCTTCCACCACTTGACTGCCTATGTAACCTTAGGAAACATTTTACCCTTAGGTTCTCATCTAAAGAATCGAAAGAATCATGGTTCCTGCCTCACATGATTATTGTGAGAAATAATGAGATAACCAAATATAATACGCTTGGCATGCAAATACTACCTTTCTTGTCCATGAGAATACCAAGACTTAGCAGGCACACATCACTCTTATTGCCTAGACAGATGTAAGATGAGTTCAGCAAAAATCAAAGTTTCTCATAATATCTGTCAGCAGTAAATGTATTAGTACTGTGAACCAAATTGAATACTATTCTAGAAAGAAATCGTCTAGAGTAAAAAAGAAATGCTATCAGTAATTGTGTATTATGTGCTAGGAATTGTGTTAGTGATTTCACAAATTTTTTTTGTTCAAATTTTCATATGGTCTACTTAAGAGAAGATATTATTATTCCTATTTTTCTTTTTTTATTATACTTTAAGTTTTAGGGTACATGTGCACAACAACATGCAGGTTTGTTACATATGTATATATATGTGCCATGTTGGTGTGCTGCACCCATTAACTTGTCATTTAACATTAGGTATATCTCCTGATGCTATCCCTCCCCACTCCCCCAACCCCACAACAGGCCCCAGTGTGTGATGTTCCCCTTCCTGTGTCCATGTGTTCTCATTGTTCAATTCCCACCTATGAGTGAGAACATGCGGTGTTTGGTTTTTTGTCCTTGTGATAGTTTGCTGAGATTGATGGTTTCCAGCTTCATCCATGTCCCTACAAAGGACATGAACTCATCCTTTTTTATGGCTGCATAGTATTCCATGTTGTATATATGCCACATTTTCTTAATCCAGTCTATCATTGGTGGACATTTGGATTGGTTCCAAGTCTTTGCTATTGTGAATAGTGCCACAATAAACATACATGTGCATGTGTCTTTATAGCAGCATGATTTATAATCCTTTGGGTATAGACCCAGTAATGGGATTGCTGGGTCAAATGGTATTTCTAGTTCTAGATCCCTGAGGAATCACCACACTGACTTCCACAATAGTTGAACTAGTTTACAGTCCCACCAGCAGTGTAAAAGTGTTCCTGTTTCTCCACATCCTCTCCAGCACCTGTTGTTTCCTGACTTTTTAATGATCGCCATTCTAACTGGTGTGAGATGGTATCTCATTGTGGTTTTGATTTGCATTTCTCTGATGGCCAGTGATGATGAGCATTTTTTCATGTGTCTTTTGGCTGCATAAATATCTTCTTTTGAGAAGTGTCTGTTCATATCCCTCGCCTACTTTTTGATGGGGTTGTTTGTTTTTTTCTTGTAAATTTGTTGGAGTTCATTGTAGATTCTGGATATTAGCCCTTTGTCAGATGAGTAGATTGCAAAAATTTTCTCCCATTCTGTAGGTTGCCTGTTCACTCTGATGGTAGTTTCTTTTGCTGTGCAGAAGCCCTTTAGTTTAATTAGATCCCATTTGTCAGTTTTGGCTTTTGTTGCCATTGCTTTTGGTGTTTTAGACATGAAGTCCTTGCCCATGCCTATGTCCTGAATGGTATTGCCTAGGTTTTCTTCTAGGGTTTTTATGGTTTTAGGTCCAACATTTAAGTCTTTAATCCATTTGAATTAATTTTTTTATAAGGTATAAGGAAGGGATACAGTTTCAGCTTTCTACATATGGCTAGCCAGTTTTCCCAGCACCATTTATTAAATAGGGAATTGTTTCCCCATTTCTTGTTTTTGTCAGGTTTGTCAAAGATCAGATAGCTGTAGATATGCGGCATTATTTCTGAGAGCTCTGTTCTGTTCCATTGGTCTATATCTCTGTTTTGGTACCAGTACCATGCTGTTTTGGTTACTGTAGCCTTGTAGTATAGTTTGAAGTCAGGTAGCGTGATGCCTCCAGCTTTCTTCTTTTGGCTTAGTATTGACTTGGCAATGCGGGCTCTTTTTTGGTTCCATATGAACTTTAAAGTAGTTTTTTCCAATTCTGTGAAGAAAGTCATTGTTAGCTTGATGGGGATGGCATTGAATATATAAATTACCTTGAACAGTATGGCCATTTTCACGATATTGATTCTTCCTACCCATGAGCATGGAAAGTTCTTCCATTTGTTTGTATCCTCTTTTATTTCATTGAGCAGTGGTTTGTAGTTCTCCTTGAAGAGGTCCTTCACATCCCTTGTAAGTTGGATTCCTAGGTATTTTATTCTCTTTGAAGCAATTGTGAATGGGACTTCACTCATGGTTTGGCTGTTTGTCTGTTGTTGGTGTATAAGAATGCTTGTGATTTTTGCACATTGATTTTGTATCCTGAGACTTTGTTGAAGTTGCCTATCAGCTTAAGGAGATTTTGCGCTGAGATGATGGGGTTTTCTAGATATACAATCATGGCATCTGCAAACAGGGACAATTTGACTTCCTCTTTTCCTAATTCAATACCCTTTATTTCTTTCTCCTGCCTGATTTCCCTGGCGAGAACTTCCAACACTATGTTGAATAGGAGTGGTGAGAGAGGGCATCCCTGTCTTGGGCCAGTTTTCAAAGGGAATGCTTCCAGTTTTTGCACATTCAGTATGATATTGGCTGTGGGTTTGTCATAGATAACTCTTATTGTTTTGAGATACGTCCCATCAATACCTAATTTATTGAGAGTTTTTAGCATGAAGGGGTTGTTGAATTTTGTCAAAGGCCTTTTCTGCATCTATTGAGATAGTCATGTGGTTTTTGTCTTTGGTTCTGTTTATATGCTGGATTACGTTTATTGATTTGTGTATGTTGAACCAGCCTTGCATCCCAGGGATGAAGCCCACTTGATCATGGTGGATAAGCTTTTTGATGTGCTGCTGGATTCGGTTTGCCAGTATTTTATTGAGGATTTTTGCATCAGTGTTCATCAGGGATATTGGTCTAAAATTCTCTTTTTTGGTTGTGTCTCTGCCAGGCTTTGGTATCAGGATGATGCTGGCCTCATAAAATGAGTCAGGGAGGATTCCCTCTTTTTCTATTGATTGGAATAGTTTCAGAAGGAATGGTACCAGCTCCTCCTTGTACCTCTGGTAGAATTCGGCTGTGAATCCATCTGGTCCTGGACTTTTTCTGGTTGGTAAGCTATTAATTATTGCCTCAATTTCAGAGCCTGTTATTGGTCTATTCAGAGATTCAACTTCTTCCTGGTTTAGTCTTGGGAGGGTGTATGTGTCGAGGAATTTATCCATTTCTTCTAGTTTTCTAGTTTATTTGTGTAGAGGTGTTTATAGTATTCTCTGATGGTGATTTGTATTTCTGTGGGATCGGTGGTGATATCCCCTTTATCATTTTTTTATTGCTTCTATTTGATTCTTCTCTCTTTTCTTCTTTATTAGTCTTGCTAGCAGTCTATCAATTTTGTTGATCTTTTCAAAAAACCAGCTCCTGGACTCATTGATTTTTTGAAGGTTTTTTTGTGTCTCTATTTCCTTCAGTTCTGCTCTGATCTTAGTTATTTCTTGCCTTCTGCTAGCTTTTGAATGTGTTTGCTTTTGCTTCTCTAGTTCTTTTAATTGTGATGTTAGGGTGTCAATTTTAGATCTTTCCTGCTTTCTCTTGTGGGCATTTAGTGCTATAAATTTCTCTCTACACACTGCTTTGAATGTGTCCCAGAGATTCTGGTTTGTTGTGTCTTTGTTCTCACTGGTTTCAAAGAACATCTTTATTTCTGCCTTGATTTCGTTATGTACCCAGTAGTCATTCAGGAGCAGGTTGTTCCGTTTCCATGTAGTTGAGCGGTTTTGAGTGAGTTTCTTAATCCTGAGTTCTAGTTTGATTGCACTGTGGTCTGAGAGACAGTTTGTTATAATTTCTATTCTTTTACATTTGCTGAGGAGTGCTTTACTTCCAACTATGTGGTCAATTTTGTAATAGGTGTGGTGTGGTGCTGAGAAGAACGTATATTCTGTTGATTTGGGGTGGAGAGTTCTGTAGATGTCTATTAGGTCTGCTTGGTGCAGAGCTGAGTTCAATTCCTGGATATCCTTGTTAACCTTCTGTCTCATTGATCTGTCTAATGTTGACAGTGGGGTGTTAAAGTCTCCCATTATTATTGTGTGGGAGTCTAAGTCTCTTTGTAGGTCACTAAGGACTTGCTTTATGAATCTGGGTGCTCCTGTATTGGGTGCATATATATTTAGGATAGTTAGCTCTTCTTGTTGAATGGATCCCTTTACCATTATGTAATGGCCTTCTTTGTCTCTTTTGATCTTTGTTGGTTTAAAGTCTGTTTTATCAGAGACTGGGATTGCGACCCCTGCCTTTTTTTGGTTTCCATTTGCTTGGTAGATCTTCCTCCATCCCTTTATTTTGAGCCTATATGTGTCTCTGCACATGAGATGGGTTTCCTGAATACAGCACACTGATGGGTCTTAACTCTTTATCCAATTTGCCAGTCTGTGTCTTTTAATTGGGGCATTTAACCCATTTACATTTAAGGTTAATATTGTTATGTGTGAATTTGATCCTGTCATTATGATGTTAGCTGGTTATTTTGCTCATTAGTTGATGCAGTTTCTTCCTAGCCTCAATGGTCTTTATAATTTGGCATGTTTTTGCAGTGGCTGGTACCGGTTGTTCTTTTCCACGTTTAGAGCTTCCTTCAGGAGCTCTTTTAGGGCAGGCCTGGTGGTGACAAAATCTCTCAGCATTTGCTTGTCTGTAAAGGATTTTATTTCTCCTTCACTTATGAAGCTTACTTTGGCTGGATATGAAATTCTGGGGTGAACATTCTTTTCTTTAAGAATGTTGAATATTGGCCCCCACTCTCTTCTGGCTTGTAGAGTTTCTGCCGAGAGATCCACTGTTAGTCTGATGGGCTTCCCTTTGTGAGTAACCCGACCTTTCTCTCTGGCTGCCCTTAACATTTTTTCCTTCATTTCAACTTTGGTGAATCTGACAAATAAGTGTCTTGGAGTTGCTCTTCTCGAGGAGTATCTTTGTGGCGTTCTCTGTATTTCCTGTATGTGAATCTTGGCCTGCCTTGCTAGATTGGGGAAGTTCTCCTGGATAATATCCTGCAGAGTGTTTTCCAACTTGGTTCCATTCTCCCCGTCACTTTCAGGTACACCAATCAGACATAGATTTGGTCTTTTCACATAGTCCCATATTTCTTGGAGGCTTTGTTTGTTTCTTTTTATTCTTTTTTCTCTAAATTTCTCTTCTTGCTTCCTTTCATTCATTTGATCTTCCATCACTGATACCCTTTCTTCCAGTTGATTGAATCGGCTACTGAGGCTGTGCATTCATCGCATAGTTCTCATGCTGTGGTTTTCAGTTCCATCAGGTCCTTTAAGGATTTCTCTGCATTGGTTATTCTAGTTAGCCATTCGTCTAATTTTTTTTCAAGGTTTTTAACTTCTTTGCCATGGGTTCCAACTTCCTCTTTTAGGTCGGAGTAGTTTGATTGTCTGAAGCCTTCTTCTCTCAGCACGTCAAGTCATTCTCTGTCCAGCTTTGTTCTGTTGCTGGTGAGGAGCTGCATGCCTTTGGAGGAGGAGAGGCCCTCTGATTTTTAGAGTTTCCAGTTTTTCTGCTCTGTTTTTTCCCCATCTTTGTGGTTTTATCTACCTTTGGTTTTGATGGTGACGTACAGATGGGGTTTTGGTGTGGATGTCCTTTCTGTTTGTTAGTTTTCCTTCTAACAGTCAGGACCCTCAGCTGCAGGTCTGCTGGAGTTTGCTGGAGGTCCACGCCAGACCCTGTTTGCCTGGGTATCAGCTGCGGAGGCTGCACAACAGTGGATATTGGTGAACAGCAAATGTTGCTGCCTGATTGTTCCTCTGGGAGTTTTGTCTCAGAGGAGTACCCGGCTGTGTGAGGTGTCATTCTGTCCCTACTCGGGGGTGCCTCCCAGTTAGTCTACTCGGGGGTCAGGGACCCACTTGAGGAGGCAGTCCGTCCATTCTCAGATCTCCAGCTGCGTGCTGGGAGAACCACTACTCTCTTCAAACCTCAGTTGGAAATGCAGAAATCACCCATCTTCTGCGTTGCTCATGCTGGGACCTGAAGACTGGAGCTGTTCCTGTTCAGCCATCTTGGCTCTACCCCTATTATCCCTATTTTTCAAATGGGGAGACTTGGGCAGCAGGAGGTTAATGAACATGCCAAAGGTAACAGACCCAGTAAATAGCAGGACAAAATACAGTTTGGTCATATTCTCATCTCCTGTGTAACATTGCCTCCGTGCTAACATGTTGACTGATGAGACCCTGTAATGCAGTAATGATAAATAATGAAATAATAATTATATTATATTGTATCATATATCATACTATGCAGTGCTACAATACACATAAAATTCCCATGTTATCTTTTAAAGGAAATCTATTTATATGGGTACTTGCAAACTGAAACTAATTTTTATTTCCATATATAACATACATTTAACTATAGTATTTGGTCAAAACTAAAACAAAATATGTTAATGATATTAGCGTTCTTTTCTTGCTTTGAAATTTGGTGATTATAATGCTGCTCTGTGCACAGCTTTTGCTTGATTTCTGCTCACTAGTTCAGGCTTGAAGACCTAATAAATATCTCTATATAGTCATTGTTGAATAGATCTTCACGTTCTGATGAACGAAACTGGTTGAATTTGAAAAATCTACTGTTTGAGATTGGCACATAACCAAATTATAACTTTAGGTGGAAAAAATACCTGATTGCTTGTTACTTTCCAAATTTTTGGCATGTTTTCAATGTTACAAAGCTGTTTCTAAATAAAATTTGTTGGGGGGCAGAAATCTTGAGAACTCCACCATATACAATTTGCATCATTTGCTTTTCTAAATTGTTGTTTCTCGCCAGTGTCAATAAACTGCTGTAAGTGGTTAAGCATGTTTGGTTGGCTGTACTTACGTATAAAATAAACAACGTGGCTAGTATTCTCTTTACAACTGATGACCATGGGTGCTGTGTAACTACTCTATATAACCCTTAATGAGGGAATAATGAAATTTACCTTGCAGAGGTGTCAAAAAGCAAACATGTTTTTCTAGTGCCTGGGTCCGTGACTAATTTCCCAATTTCTGTGTGATAATTTTATATATAGGATGTCTTAAATTCCACTCCACATGCCTAACAAGCATTTTAAAACCTGTGCTTGTCTTATCTGGAATGACATTGGAGTGATTAATTTTTTTTTAACCTTTTAGAATGGTGTCAGCTGGGATTGAGAAATTAATCAAGGGTAATCAAAGTCTGAAGAAAATTTGAACTGTTGAATTAAGACAAGATGTTTGCACTGAGTGCCAGCAGGAATGGGGTACTATATGTAGTAACTTGTTAAAAAATGTCATGCATTGAGGTATTTACATAAATTTTCATAGGAATATATTAGTTATACTTTTAAATTATACAGTTAAGGCTTGAGAACAACAGGCAATACATTGTGTAACAATTTGTCCGAAGAAACATCAGGTGGATTTGGAAGCACAAGGCAAACTCATTTTTCAAATTATAAAATCTAGTGTCAAAGGGATAGAGTTTTAGTTTTGTTGCTGTTTAAAAGGTATAATAATAAACAGAAAATGCCAATAAAAAGTATATATGAGTTATCTTAAACGTAATTATTTTTTCAGAAAAAATTGGCAACAGTTAATTACTTTGTTGTGTGAGAATCTTTGTGATTCTTACGGCTGACCAAAAAAGGGAAGGGATTTTTAATAAGTAGGTTTGGAAGGCCAAGTTCATGGTGTCCTTCCAAGCTGGATAAATCAGGCAGCATGCTCCTTACCAAGAAAGGGATGGTCTTTTGGAAGAAAGGATAATCAAGCTAGAATCCTTCTACTCGGCATAAACATCAAAGTCCTTGTGGTGGTTCAAAGAGGAAGAATCTGCCTCCATACATTTGGCCAGATTTTTGGCACCTGGTTAAAGAGATTGAGCAACAAAAAGCTTTGCTTGAATTTCATTAAAATTGAGTATTAAAAGCATACTCTTACAATTGAAGTGGAGTGGATTGAGTCTCTTGATGGGGATGGGCCCTTAGTGTATATGCATGGCTTGGGTAACTTTCTTCATTTGTTTAATTGGAAAACTTGCTGTTTTTATCTCTCTGTCCAACCATAGCCCCCTCTCTCCACAATATTCTTTGAAGAACATCTAGCTCTCCATAAAATATCTAGCAAAAGAGAGAGAAAAAAATACTTCCACAAATGCTTGTCAAAATAAAAGAAAGCAAACAGAATTACATACCAAGTCTTTATTTCCTCTTAGACCTAAATTTGATTAGATGTGATGCTAATGATTAGGCTAAAACGAGTGATGGTAAGCTTGTTTGTTAAACTAATTAATGACATAAATGTGACTTCCCAAAACAATCCCGCTGAAATCCTGCTTCAGGTTTCCAAAGAAGCCTGTGCTTTCCATCCATTCCCGTGGAATTTGAGGGGAGCCACCCATTTTTGCCAGTGGTTTAGCTAGAATTAAAATTAATAACGTTTTGGCCCCCTGCCTTTGCTGAAACTGCTGGGAAGCACAGACTTCTGTTGTTCAGTGCTACATGCATCTTCCAAATTCTCAATTGGGAAAAATGCGAAGTCCGCATTCTGGCCTTGGGCAATAGAACGTTAGGCATGGAAATCAGCGCCTCGGGTTTTTACATCAACGTCAGCCCCTCACAGGTCAGCAACCGCAGCGGCTAACCTCTTTCTCCCAACCGCCACACAGAGATGCATTTTCCAATGCGATGCCAATACATCTCTCAGGCCTTTGCTTCATCGGGATCGAGAGTTATTTTTTTTTCTCTCCAAACATTTTGTTTTGAAAGTTTCAAAATTTACATAAAAGATAAAGACTAGTACAATAAAAAAAGTATATACCCTAATCTAGACTTATCAATTGTTCCCACTTTGCCATTATTTTCCCTCAATATCTCCTATTTATTTATTTATTTATGTATTTTTGCTGAACAATTTGCAAGTAAGTTGCAGACACTATGAAATTTCACTTCTATGTACCTTATCATGCATCTCCTAAGTATGAGCTCAGAAGCACAGCATCATTTTTTACATGCCCAAATTTACATGCATTATGTTTAATATGAACTCCATATCAAAATTCCCCAATTATTTTTCAAATGTATTTTGTTTTCTTTATCTGCAGGATTCAGTGAAGATTGATGCATTGCATTTGGTTGTAATCACTTTTTAGTTTTGTTAAAGCAAACCAAATATGGCCTGAGAAGGACTCCATACTTCTATATTTGAGTCCTTGAGGATGAACTGCAACCTAACTTAATAGGTAGACAAGATTGAAAACCTAACTTAAAAGTATGCACCTGTAACAATCGCCGAGCAGGTCAGCGATTGGCCAATCCCAGCAGCCTTATTTCAGCCACTCATAACACTGCTGAGTGTTTAAACTGTGTTTAAATAAGGCAAACGCCAATCTGTAGCCAATCCAGTTGTTTCTACACCTCACTTCCGATTTCTGTACGTCACTTTACTTTTTTTGTCTATAAATTTATTCTGACCAGGAGGCACCCCTGGAGTCTCTCTGAATCTGCTGTGATTCTTGGGGCTGCCCTGTTTGTGAATCGTTCATTGCTTAAACTCCTTTAAATTTAATTCGGCTGAAGTTTTTCTTTTAACAGTTTCTTTTAATCTAGAACAGGTTCCTCACATTTTGTTTTGTTGTTCTCAGGATAATTACTTTTCTGAAGAATCCAGGTTCGTTTTCTTATGGAATTTTCTACCTTGTGAAGTTACCTGATTAATTTTTTTCATTGTTAGATTCAGGTTACACATGCTTTGGCAAGAATACTCTATCAGTGTTGTTGTACATTTCTCAGTGCTTTATATACATGATATTAGACTGTTGCCCCATAATGATGCTAAGTTAGGCCACTTGGTTAAGGTGATGATCGCAAAGATCTCTTCATTGTGAGGTAGATTTTCTCCTCTGGGATTAGTAAATAATTTGCAGAAGACTACCTTGACTGTGTGACTAATCTGTTCCCTAACCTTTCATGTTATATTTTCATGATCTTACTTGCTACAATTATTACTTAGGGGTTGCAAAATGGCATTTTTTCCAATTCTATTATTCCTTCTTAATTTATCAGCTGGTATTCTCTTACAGAAAAATTTTCTTATTTCTCTATCTTGTTTCTTCTCTATTATCATTATGAACTCATTTAAAAAAATTCACTAACCTGGATTTTTCAGAAAAGTCATTATCATGAGAACAACCAAACAAACAAAATGTGAGGAACCTGTTCTAGATTTAAAGAAAGTGTTAAAAGAAAAACTTCAGCCGAATTAAATTTAAAGGAGTTTAAGCAATGAACGATTCACAAATAGGGCAGCCCCAAGAATCACAGCAGATTCAGATTAATGTATTACAATTAATTACCATCATTGTTCTTTTATAGACTCAAATGTGCAAAATTTGCTTCATGGGAGCCACTTTAACAGGCTCATGTGCTCCTCTGACATGGTCTTAGTATTTGAGCACTTAGAAACAAGTAAACTACATTTTATTTTCCTTGCCCTGGACTTGGAATTAGCTATTACTATAACAAATTATGATATTTTATACTGTGGAATGATGTCTAGAAATCAATAGCTGAACATGAACTCTGTTCATTCCTATTGAAGTGTCATTATTTCTACCTGCTTTAGGTAGAGAGTGCTATAATACATGTGAATTTTATATTCAATTAAAATTAGTATTGCAAGATTGTTTACTTTCTTTAATTTTATATTAATACCTCTTTTACAGTTCAAATCTTAAATTTAGTATGCTTAGTATTTGCATTAAAATTGGTAGTATAATTATGAAACTATCTTATGTATAGTGTATGATAAGTACAGGATCTCTTAATGGGATATTAATCCTGCACTATACGTAACATTTCATTTCAGTTATTTTTGTCCTTGAATATATGCCACAGAGAATGTACAGTCAGAGGAATTATATTAAAAACTTACTTTAATTATTTTCTTCATTTGATTATCTACAATTTTTGTCATTTTATTGAGGTATACTTTACACATGATAACACTTACCCTTGTAGAGTTCCAAGAATTTTGACAATTGCATGCAGTCAGCTAGCCATACTACAAACAACGTATAATGCACTTCCATCACCCCACTGTTTCCTCATTCCCCCTCCTATTTAATCCCCTTCCTCCAACACCCAGCCCCTGGCAACCACTAATTTGTCTTCTGTCTCTATGGTTTAGCCTTTGCAGAATGTCATATGAACAGACTCATATGTAACCACTGAATCTGATTTCTTTCATTTAGTATAGTGCAATAGTATTGTGCAACTTAGTTCACTCAGATCATTTTTTTAATTGATGGGTAGTATTTCATTGTATTGGTGTACCAAAATTTTTTTTAAAAAATCTATTCAGCATTTGGACATTTGGCTTGATTTTTGAATAAAGCCATTATAAATATTTATATGGACACATTTTCTTTTCTCTTAGGTGAATAGCTAGGAGTGGAATTGCTAATTTTTAGGTGCATTTTTAACCTTATTAAACACCTCTAAATTATTTTCCAAAGCGTCTGTACCTATTTTTATTTCTACCAGCAATGTATAAGAGCTCTATTTGCCTTTCACATCCTTATTAGCACCTATTATTGTAAAAACTGGTTTGTTCATTTGCTTCTCTATTTCTTTCCTTTTTTTACCATTTTGAGATGGAGTCTTGCTCTGTTGCCCAGGCTGGAATGCAGTGGCGCAATTTTGGCTCACTGAAACCTCCGCCTCCTGGGTTCAAGCAATTTTCTGCCTCAGGCTCCCGAGTAGCTGGGATTACAGGCGCCTGCCACCACGCCCAGCTAATTTTTTTTATTTTTAGTAGAGAGGGCATTTCACTATGTTGGCCAGGCTGGTCTTGAACTCCTGACCTCGTGATCCACCCACCTTGGCCTCCCAAAGTGCTGGGATTACAGGCGTGAGCCACCGCGCCCGGCCTCTTTTTTCTTTCTTATCATTGTGATAGTTATGTAGTGGTAACTCACTGTGGTTTTAGCTTGCGTTTCTCTAAAGACTAATGATATTAAGAATTATTTTATATATTTATTTGACATCTGTGTATCTTCTTTGGCAAAGAATCTGTAAAATATTTTCTCCAGTATTTTAAAATTAGTTTGGTTTCTTACTATTGATGTTTTTTTTTATTTCAACATGCATCTTTTTTTTTATTTTTATTTTTTAAATGCCTCCTACTTAGGAGGAAGGTAGCATTTAGCAATGTGTTTTATTTTATTTTTTATTTTTATTTATTTATTTATTTATTATTTATTTTTTTTAACGTGTTCTTTATTGCTATTATACTTTAAGTTCTAGGGTACATGTGCACAATGTGCAGGTTTCTTACGTATGTATACATGTGCCATGTTGGTGTGCTGCACCCATTAACTCGTTATTTACATTAGGTATATCTCCTAATGCTATCCCTCCCCCGCTCCCGCCACCCCACAACAGGCCCCAGTGTATGATGTTCCCCTTTCTCTTCCATGTGTTCTCATTGTTCAGTTCCCACCTATGAGTGAGAACATGCGGTGTTTGGTTTTTTGTCCTTGTGATGGTTTGCTGAGAATGATGGTTTCCAGCTTCATCCATGTCCCTACAAAGGACATGAACTCATCCTTTTTTATGGCTGCATAGTATTCCATGGTGTATATGTGCCACATTTTCTTGATCCAGTCTATCATTGGTGGACATTTGGGTTGGTTCCAAGTCTTTGCTATTGTGAATAGTGCCGCAATAAACATACGTGTGCGTGTGTCTTTATAGCAGCATAATTTATAATCCTTTGGGTATATACCCAGTAATGGGATGGCTGGGTCAAATGGTATTTCTAGTTCTAGATCCCTGAGGAATTGCCACACTGACTTCCACAATGGTTGAACTAGTTTACAGTCCCACCAACAGAAAGGAGTCACCTGTGGAGCTCTTAAAAACACCGTTGCCTGGGCTTACCACAGACCAATTAAATAGGGACCTCTGGGGGCAGAGCCCAGGCACTTTTATGCTTTTAAGTTAAGCTTCTCAGGTGATTTTCGTTTTTTTTTTTTTTTTTCCTCCGGAGATGGTCTCACTCTGTTGCCCAGGCTGGAGTGCAGTTGTGCGATCTCAGCTCACTGCAACCTCTGCCTCCCAGATTCAAACAATTCTTCTGCCTCAGCCTCCCGAGTAGCTGGGACTACAGGTGCACACTGCCACACCTAGTTAAGTTTTTTGTATTTTAGTAGAGACAGGGTTTCACCATGTTGCCCAGGCTGGTCTCGAACTCCTGAGCTCAGGCAATCCGCCTGCCTCGGCCTCCCAAAGTGCTAGGATTACAGGCATGAGCCACCGCACCCGGACTCTCAGGTGATTTTCTTATGCAGAAGGTATTGATAACTACCAGTATAGGCATCACAGAATTTTTCCTCCTGGAACATTCACCACTTTCAGCTAGCTAACTTCTTACCTGTCCTTCAAATGTCACCCGATGTGTTGCTTTGTTTTTTATTAGCCCTAAAATATCTGTGTCTCTTTCCTTCAGAAACTGTCTCAGATTGTAACAGTGGGTCATTAGTATGATTATTTAGACACTTCCTGTTTCCTTAAAAGGCTCTAAGCTTCATGTGTCTACTGGGCTCATCACTGAAGCCTCAGCAACCCTCCCACAGCATGGGTTTGAAAATCAGCACTTAACTAAATGGAACCTCCAAATAATGAAGACCAACCAAGTTGGTCACTGTGATAACTATTTTAATATCTTCTTTTTAATTTCCAAGTATGTTTTAAAGTTTTCGTGCTCATTATTTGCTTGCCTGGGCTTTACCGGCTTTAAGAATATGCTTAGTCTCCTTGTTGAACGGTAAGCATTGGGAGAACAGCATGTGCCAAGGTAGTGGGGAAGGGGAGATAAAATGAAACATTCAAAGAACTGAGGAGGGCAGGCTGGATGAGCACAGTGTAACTAAAATGAAAGGCTGTACCAAAGGGGATTGAAACCCAGGGAAAGGCACAAGGCCAAGGATGGTCTCTAAGTAGTGTACTTAGACATGTATTTTGCAAAGATCAGTTTGATTGTTGTGTGGGAAGTGGTCTAAATGGTCTCAGAATGAATGCTAGTCCACAGGCAGTGACAGTCAAGATGAATAATGATGGGGACTTGTGGGCGAATGTTTGGGTCCTAAACTCCGGAGCAGAATCTCATTCAGGTAGGTTGGTAGATGGAGGTTTTTTAAAAGAAGGACCATTGAATAGTGAGGCTGGTAAAACAGTGTGAGACGAGCCAGCCAGTAGAGCAGGACATGTAGATGAGATCGAGGAATAAAATAAATCATCAACGTTTCCTGGAGACATGTCAAATATTCTTAGCCCCATCTGCCTGATGTCTCATCTCAGTGTGACCATAGTGAGGCCCAGAGCAATACTATTCACATGCTCCCAAGTGACTCCATCCATCAGCCAGGATTGGGGAACAATTTAAATAGATGGAGCTCAGCGTGGACAGGGTAAGCTTGAAAAGATGACTGGCAACAAAATTGGGCAGGCCCTTATGCTATTCCTCAGAAGTGATGATGATGACATAATGTGGAGTAATAAGAACACTACCATATTGGGGCGGGGCTGTTGAGGGAAGGGCCCTGGCAGTCAGAAATGGGTGCAGAGGATGTTTTTATCCTGTGCATCAGCATAGAGTGGGAAGTTTGCAAAATTTTGTACTCTAAAGCCTATAGGTGTTCCTCTGGATGACTCCATTATTGAAGCATCTTGGAAATAGTTTGTGAAGAAGTCTGAGTGCTAGAAACAAAGTAGGCAGCTGTTGCCTTTAAACAGTTCTCCACACCAGCTGCAGTACATTCTCCAGAAGAACTCTCTAACAACTGCCATCAAGCTAGAGGAGGAATAACCGCCAGCATTCAGAGATGCACCAAGTAGCTCCTGCCCTCAATCTCCAAGTGCTCATAGCCTTCCTTTTAAACATCCTCTTTTAGAGTTTTTTGAAACCCACTAATGACATGTTTGTATGGTTAATTTACATGGTCTAGTGTTTAGCCAGTTTACCGTCACATAGTAAAATATGAATGGCTTTTTTTCTCATGATCTGAAGCAAATTCTGGGAGGGTAAGTGTGCACAGGTGGGTATCGACTGGGGTATAGACAGAGCAGAGGGGAAGGAAGGAAGATGCAGGGAATACTGTTAGTTTCTGGGCTTTACTAAGTGACGCTGAAGGGAGGAGGGCCTGAAGTGTAGGTGGAAGGAGAATCCAGGATTAGGGAATAGGGGTAGGAAGGACAAGGAGCATCCCAAAATAAATCAGCACAAGTTTGTCCAAGGGCTTGCCCGGCCTGCCTGAAGTCATAGAAGTTTATTATTTCTGTGTTCATAAACAACTCCCTTGTTCCTTGCCCTCAAGAGCAAATCCAGGTTTTTTGGGGTTTGAAGCTTATATAATTTAGGGTAGTTCCTCTTTGAGAAAAAAATTCAGGTTATGATATGAAAGTGAATATTATGAGATAGGTAATCATAGAAAATTACATAATTTAAAAACACTATAATCACACTGCAAACTTTCTAAAATTACATAATTTAATTAATTAACTTCATGGCTCACCTATAAAATACTTTTTCCTACTTTTTGGCTGCACACTCTTTGATCACTTCATATCAGAATGCTTTTGTTATATTATTTTCTAATGAGAGCAAAGAAAGATGATTTAATATTTCCTTTAGCATGGATGATCAAAATTTGTTTTTTATTATTGTTTAATAGCATTCTTTTAGCTTTACAACTTGTTAATGGTATGCTATATAAATGTTGAAGATTATTGCCAAATTTGAAACAAGTGCCTTTTTCATAAGAACTGTGAGATTTAAGTTATTTCAAGTTTCATTGTGCAAGCATGAGCCTTAAATTATCTTTGAATTTGATGATATTCAAACACCAGTTTGTTACCACAACCATATATTACTTCTTCAAACTTTACAATTCTATGAATGTTTTACTGCACTGCTGGGGCTCCTTCCAGGTGAGAGGGGTGCAAGCATCATTAGATCCATAGCAAAACCACCTCTGATTGCTTCACGTGCTTGTGTCTTATTGTTAAAAAAAATAGATAATAAAAGCTAACATTTGCTGAACAGGTTCGCTAAATTGCCTCATTTAATTTGACATTTTTTTTTTTTGAGATAGAAATTAGTGTCCCCCTGTACAGATGAACAAACTGCTATTCAGTGAAGTTGACTTTGGCCAAGCAAGGACCTGAAATTAACTGAAATTTCCTGGGTGTCATTCCATCCATAGAGCTCTATTCCTTGCTTTTCTCTTCATTGCTGCCTATGAACTTTGAACCATTCTTTGCAAACCAAACCAAAATCTCCACAGAGAACCCTATAAGTCTGCTAAGAATAAAGAATAATCACGGATATTTTATGGATTTGGGCAAAGAAGGTAACCACTTCTTCATAAGAGACTTTCCACATCTTGACTTAGAGTCTCTGTTTTATCCCTAAGTGAGAGGGAAACATCCCAGATTCAGACTCCAGAAGGATCACAGAAGTCCTGTCAGGGGCTCAGCTATTTGCAAGTCCAACAACGTGAGGCCCAGAGGCTGGGAGTGTTTGGCAAATGTGATGTCTTAATGGGCCAAAGCTGTTTGGTGGGATTTGTAACTAAAAAGAGATTTCAGCCCATCTGACTGAATGTTAATGGATTGGTCTGAGGCAGATTTTTAAAAATATACTGTTTTATCTACTCATAACAGAGTTAACAGGTTTTGATGACTCTGGCCTTTTCTTTTTGCTCTGTGTATGTTGCCAGGCCAAATAACCTAGCTGTGTTGGAAACGAGTTTCAAATTACTTGCAGGTGGCTGGAGGCAGATGAAAGCTGCCATAGAGGTGTTCCTCATTCTATTCTCTAGTCCCCAGACTATCGGGCCATGTGCTGACACTTGGATGCTTGTTTTACAATATCATTTGACAAGTGGGATTTATGTGTCAAAATTTCAGTAGAAGCCAAGAAAATGTCAGAGTAAGCAAAGAGAGGCAGCATGAGAAAAGGGGGAGGGGGCTGCTTTTTAAACCCAGGAGTGTGTGAGTTAAACTGTGCCAAATCCCTACTCTGTATGAAACACACAGGGAGATTAACCTGGCTGCCAAAAACCCGAGATTTCTTTGGAGTGTTTTTGTGCAGTGCTGTTACTGCCTTTATCATTAAGGAAACAATGTAATAAAAATGAGACCTTTTCCCTGAATGCATTAATAAAGATAACTTATTGGTCCCGGTCCCAAACCACTGGAGCCACATTTAATTTGCTGCGTTTATTGTTCTGGGCTCTGGTATACAGAGGTGCTCAGGAGCACAGCAACATCACTGGAAGCACTGATAGAAAGGACAAAAGGAAAGGTTCCTGTTCTTACTTAGAATTTCCAAAATGCCCTAGTTACTAAATATTCATCAATCCTCCTAAATTTGTTTGAACTTTCCCCAAAGTTTTTATCTTATGGTTATTTTAAAAGGATTAAACACCTATACATATACACAAGTCCCCAAACCTTACCTGAAACTGTTAGAGTGTCCTATTAATTCCCACTTAAAATAACTTTTCCCCTATTCTTTTTTTTTGGTGTAGGGGAAGGAGAGGTGGCAAGAGATTGAATGTTTAAGTTTCTCTAAGCCGTGTGCTGTTGCTCACCATATTAAGAGCATGTGTGCATTACTTCATAAACTATCAGATGACATGCAACTTTATTTATACTCAGTAAAAAAGAATAATGAGTTACGTAAAGTTATTTCTGACACCGGGCAAAATAACTCTGCAAAAAGGCACCATTCATGGGGGTCAGCCCAGCCTGGCTCAGGGGCCATCATCCACTAGCTCCAAACAAATTTAAGAAAGAATTACAGCTGTGGACACCATGTCACATGCCAAGGGTAATATGTACAAGTCATGATCAAGCATAATAACGAAAGCCCTTATGCCCTCTATTCTATTCCTCTCTGCAGATTAAGGGCCTCCAGGGTCAGGACCAACTGCCTAGGGAAGGCTTAGGAAGTCTGAGTTTGTGTATTCTCCAAATTTATGAAAGACAACATCACAGTGGCCATCAGTCTGGGGTTTGAAAATATCTAAACTGAAAAAGCTGAGATTTAGCCAAAGTATGAAGTACAATGGATCTCCTTATAATCTTTTTTGTTTGTTTGTTTATTTTGTTTTTTGCTTAATGACAACCTAGATGTAAGTCAAGAGGTAATTAAGTGAACACTTAAGTTTAGCTGATAAGGAGGGGCAAATACTGAGGTTCCTTTGTGGGATGTCATACCTTTGTATTTTTCTCAACCATCCTAAGAGAAACATAGAGTGTGTTTCTGCCAGGATCCGGGACCATCAGCATGTCAATTCTTCTGATCTGCAAATGTCTAATTTCTCTTAGCAGAAATGGTGTTTACGGGGAAAATATCATGTGTACAGCTAGTTGTTGCTTAGTTAAAATGAATTCTGGGAAACATACTTGGGGCTCCTAGGTATCATAAATACCTTATAAAGTAGCCCCAGAGTAGGCTTGCTAATTTAGAAATTTTGGAAATAAAAAGATTGAGATCTTGGAAAACTCCCACTTCATGTGATATCAGCAGGTTAAGTATGTGCTGTTAACTGCTGATAATTGGCATTTCATTACTGATGGAACTACTACAAACTGCCTACTGGGAGGGTGTGTAGAAACACCATGACCAAATCTAGCATGCACCAGTACTTATTTTTCCCTGAGCTCTATTAAGATGATTTATTACTAAATATTAAGATGATTTATTACTATTAAGATGATTTATTACTAAATAAAGGCACTAATTTCATGGGCTCATATGAACTTAAATTCACGTGTGTATGTGTCTCTCTGTGTGTGTATTTCTTTCTCTGTGTGTGTGTGTGTGTGTAACTAGAGAAAATTAAGCAAAGACATTTGATTAGCAAGTACAAAGAGGGAAAGAGGGAAGTTTAGTTTCTCCCAGTAAAATGATTATTTTTAAAGTTTCTGTACAATCAATAGGAAAAGAGGATGCGGGTGAAAGGGGAAAGTCACAGGTATTTATATCTAAATAGCTCTGTAGGTTTTAGAGAAGGTTAAAGAAGGTAAGGGTGGTGATGTGTTTATTGGAGGTGGGAAGGTGGAAGTTGGAGGAGTGTACATCAATGGGCCCTTTTTTGTTTAGTGTCCTGGGAAATGTGGCCATTTCTGAAAGTCACGTGAGTCAAATGGAAGAGATAATTTGAGAGCTCTGATATTGCTGGTATACAGGAAATAAGAAATAGGATGAGAATAAAAATATTGAGCTGTAATGAAGGCCCATGTGAGAGTGGAAATGACAAATGTACACTAGTGGCTAATTGTTACAATGTTGTCATTTTATTCAACTGAGCTCAACATGTCAGGAGCAGAAAAAATGAATGTGATAGGATTAAGTAAGGTGTATTAGTCTGTTCTCTCATTGCTATAAAGAAATACCCGAGACTGAGTAATTTGTAAAGAAACAAGGTTTAATTGGCTCACAATTCTGCAACTGTACAGGAAACATGATTCTGGCATTTGCTTGGCTTCTGGGGAGACCTCAGGAAACTTACAATCATGGTGGAAGGTGAAGGAGAGGCAAGCCTGTCTTACGTGGCAGAAACAGGAGGAAGAGAAAGCGGGAAATTCCTGGTTTCCCAGAAAGTCTCTGGCTCTAAATCATATTCAGTTTCAGCAGAATAGTTGTGTCTAACCTTTCCCACGCTGCTGCTACACACTTTTAAACAACCAGATCTCTTGAGAACTCACTCACCATACAGTACCAAGGGGAGCTGGTGCTAAGCCATTCATGAGAACTCCACCACCATGATCAAATCCCCTCCCGTGAGGCTCCTCCACCAGGGCTGAGAATTACAATTCAACATGAGATTTGGGTGGGAACAGAGATACAAACCACATCAGAAGGATTTGCTGGACCCAACACCCAGGAATCAGGAAGGTGGGAGACAAAGATGTTGCAAAGACATGGCTGAAATTATTGACTGTATGGTCCAAGCTGGGTGAGAAAATTGAAACCAAGAGGAATTTGAGAGGGTATAGGGAGGCATGATGAGAGTGGAAATGTCACAGTACAGACATAGTTAGAGTGTGAGAAGTGGAAGAATTAGAAGTAGAGATTGGAGAGTGAAATTTTGCTAAGAGAATATGCTAGGGTCTGAATGTTTGTGTCCCCTCAAAATTCGTGTGCTGAAAACCTAATCATCAAGGTGATGATATTAGAGGATGGGGTTCTTGGGAGGTGATTAGATCACGAGGGTGGGGCCTTCATGAATGGGGTTAGTGTCCTGACGAAAGAGGCCCCAGAGAGTTCCCTTGCTCCCTTTCACCATGTGAGGACACAGCTAAAAGGCATGACCTATGAGGCAAAAAGCAGGCCAATGGCAAACACGGAAACTGCTGGCACCTTAATCTTGGACATTATAGCCTCCAGAACTGTAAGAAATATTTCTCTTATTTACAACCTACCCAGTGTATAGTATTTTGTCATAGCAGTCTGAACTGACTTTGACAGACAATTCCTGGTAGTGGCTGGTATCTGGACTGTGGCCCTGGGAGTGGACTGATGTGTAAGAATGAAGGCAAAGTTCGATGATCTGTGAGGCTGGGAAGATACCCAAATCAACACATACATCGCCTCATGTAGGATACATTAAGACTCTGGTTGAAGAGAAAGTCTACATCAATTTAGACCACTTGGCCTCTGAAAAGATGTTGCCCTTGTTGATTTTCTGTGTATATATATATATTGCTGAGTCTTTGGTTGATAATGCTTTTTTTTTTTTTAATTCTCAAGAGTCAAAAAGTCCCCACAGAGAAGACCCACTTGCTAATCCTGAGCAGACCATGCAATGGAAGCATCTTGAGGCAGAGTGGTGAAGCTGAAAGCCCTGGACTAGGAACTGGAGCTGTAGAGTCCTGCTGTGGTTCTGCTGTTGACTTACTTGTTTAAATCAGAGATGAAATAACAACCTCTCTGGGCCTCTTATCTGTGAAATGAGAGGTTTGGCTAATGTGGTTTCCCAGGAATTTTCTGGCTCTAAGTTACATTCAATTTCAGCAGAATATTTGTTTCTAACCTTTCCCATGCTGCTGCTGAGTTGGCCTAATTGCTAGCCCTCCACTGATTTCATTCTGCCCCACCCCACCCTCAGATGACTCCTTCTTTCCACTTAGAGATAACAGCACCAATTAACTCAGGATAATTTCCCTCACTGCCAAAACTATTTCCAAAATGCAAACTTGTGGCTGCTGATTCATGCTGCTAGAGAAGCACTGTTTCTTTCTGACTGGCTTCACGTGTGTTGCCACTACAGGAAGAGACCAAGTCACTGGTAAAAAGCTAGGGTAACCAGGAGAAATGGCCCCTTCAGATGACACTGTGAGAGTCAACAAGGTAAGAAAGAGGAAGCTTTAAAATCACCACCATCATCATTTTTGAAATGTGGAAAGTTAGTTATGCATGGTGCTTGCCCTTGGGTACCTTAAAATTGAAAACATATAAGCAAAACACCATATATGGCCTGGCACAGTGACTCATGCCTATAAATCCCAGCACTTTGGAAGGTGGAGGTGGGTGGATGGCTTGAGCCCAGGAGTTTCAGATCAGCTTGTGCAATATGGTGAAAGCCTGTATCTGCCAAAAAAAAAAAAAAAAAAGAAAAGAAATACACAAAAATTAGCTGGGTGCAGTAGTGCATACCTGTAGTCCCAGCTACTCAGAAGGCTGAGGCAAGAAGAACGCTTGAGCCCAGGAGTTTGAGGATGCAGTGAGCCATGATTGCACCACTGCACTCCAGCCTAGGTGGCAGATCAAGACCCTGTCTCAAAAGAAAAAAAAAATATCAAAAACCAACAAAAACCAAAAACCATATAAACATCATCTTGTAAAGTAAATAAATATATAAGTGATTTAGGAGTCAACACATATTACTCAAGAGCACCCTATTGAGGCCCCAAGTCTCATTGACAAGATCTAATTGGAGTTTATATCTGTAAGGCCAACACTATGAGAATGAATGGGGTGATGAGCAGAAAAATAGTAGGGCTGGGGAGGGGACACAAAGAGAGACATTCTCAGCACAATGCCCAAAGGAGCTCCTTCTTTTACATGGCTAGATGACAAGAGGAAGTGATGAAGTCATAAAAGGAGTCAATGAGAGAGAAAGAAATGGGTGAGCGAAGTTCCTCAGTATCAAATAAAATGTAGTTCAAAGGAGGAGAGGCTGGTGTGAAGAGGAAAATGACAAAGGTGAGTCAAAAAAGCTAGGCCTGGAATAGGTTTTTGGAATTATCCATTATGAGGTCATTGACAACTTTGTCATAGGAGTTTCTGTGGAATTACAGGGCAGGATCCAGACAACATTAATTTACATAGCAAATGTTTGGAATGAAAGTGATGTTTCTAAGTCGAGACTATTCTTTCAGAAAAATTAACAGCAAAGTTTGGTACTCAAGGGGATAATAAAAACAAGGGAAAAATTTTGAGGAGGAATAAACCTTGGCCTGAGGTTAAAACAAAAAGGAAGAATTGATTGGAAGCAGGGCATTAACAACACATAGAAGAAGAATGGCACAATGGATGAAGCAGAAACCAGAGAAAGGAGACGAGCTCACAATCCTGGGTGAAGGAATGAGGGGAAAGGAGGGTAAAGAGATTCTGAGTTTTCAAAAATAAAGGATATCAGCAGAGAGGCAGATATAAAGCTGGCCAGTAACTTTTATGTGGAGAGTTTCTTGAAGATTTCAAGCATAGGAAGAGGGGAGAAGAGCAGAGTGCTATGATCCAAGATCTAGGCTTAGAAAGTTCCAGAAAAAGAAGAATTAGAACAAGTAATTGGCTTATCTCCAAATATGCCCAAAGATGGGACCGAAGACATTGCCTCACCTGCATAACAGGGAACAATTTACTATAAAACTAGAAATGATTGGAGCAAAGGTTGATTCTCTCACCTCTTATTACTGTTGTCTCCATTTCTATTACTAACATGGAGGGGCAGGAAAAAAAAAAACAAAGAAAAATCATTGCTGATCCTAGTAAGGACTTCTGCACATATGTGACCAACTGCTCTGTAGAGTGTATATTTGACAACCCAGAGTTCTGCTGGTGTGGCATACAACCATTAAATTACCTAAAACTTCTTGTTAGCTAAAAAATAGTTTCTACTTATATCATTTGTAAGTATCCTCAGTATACTCTAATTTTTTGCTGACTGGAGACCTATTTTGGGAAATATATACAGGTCCACAGCTCCTTATCAAAACAGCACCTAAGTAAGGCTCAGCCTCTTCTACTGAGTTTCACACACTATAGTAGTGGTCAATAAGCTTTATTCTCAGATATACATTCAAAGGTTTTAAAGAAAAAATACATACTTTTTCATAAATTTTTAAGTTAACATCTAAAATTTTTCATTAACACTATAAATGATTACAAAGGATATCATTTTCCTGTGTGTTATAAATGAATGACATTGAAAAATAGAACCATTACTTCATTTTTTGAAAAGTACTAATGACATCAAAATACCATAGTGATCATTTAAAAACAAATTTTTGATTGACATATAACATTTAAAAATGTACCAAATTATGAGTGTACATCCCACTGGTTCCACAGAGTTAAGACACTCATGTAACCAGCAAACAGACAAACAGTTTAAGAAGTTCTTCTTCGCTCCTTCTAAGACAGTCCTTTGCCACAAAGGTAACCATTATTGGGACTTTAGTATCACAGATTAGTTTCCTGTTTTTAAACTCTATGTAAATGGGATTATATAGTAGTTATGCTTTTGAATATGGCTTCTTTTGCTCAGTATTAAGTTTATGGAATTTATTGTTGGGAGTAGAAATACGTCATTCTCCTTGCTGTGTTGTAGTCCTTAGTAGGAATATACTGCAATTTATTTATTACATTTTTAGTGTACATTTGAATTATTTTCAATTTGAGGCTATTATGGGCAGTGCTGCTGTACATATTTTTATTCATGCTTTTTTGTGATGTATGTAAACATTTATGTTAGTTGTATGTCTAACAGTGAAACTGTTGGAAGATTGGGTCATGCATATATTCAGCTTTTTTTATATATTGTCATATATTCAGACATTTTTCAGGGTATTTGTACCAAATTATCTTTTTATTAGAAGTATGTGAGAGTTTTAGCTGCTCTGCATCATTTGATAGTCTCTGTTTATTTTTCCTTTTACCTATTCTAGTGAGTATAAAATTTGAGCACTTTTCAAATTTTTTTGGTTCTTTGGATATCCTTTTTTTGTAAGTCTCTTTCCATTTTTCTATTGGGTTATTCTTTTTCTTATTGATCTGTTGGTACTCTCTGTATAGTCTCTATATAAGCTCTTTGATGTACATATTGCAAATATCCTATTTCATTCTTTGGCTTTCAATTTTACTAGTGGTGTCTTTTATATGCAAGTTATTAATTTTAATGTGTACCAATTTTTAACTATTTTCCTGTATGGTTAGTACCTTTTATATCCTGTATAAGAAATTTCTGCCAACTCAAGATTATGAAAATGTTCTTGCAAGTACTCCTCTAGAGGTTATATTATTTCAGCATTCACATAAATATAAATATAATCTCAATATGATATAATATAAAATTACTACTGTATTACATAATTAATTAGGTAAAAATCAATTTGAATTGACTTTTGTGTACTGTGTGAGGCAGAAGTAAAAGTAATTCTCCCCTGCTTCATAGCCAATTGACCCAAGAATATTTACTAAAATGGCATATATTTCCACAACACTGCAAGGCCATCTTTGTTATAAATTAGGCAACCTTATATTTGTGGTTATGTTTCTATTTGGCTATCTTCACCATGAGAATTTGATTTGGTCCCTGGCAGTAAAACCCACAAAACTGAGTCCCCAGAAGTTCACCCACTCTTAAGCTAGTCCACAGGCATACTGTAGCAGTTCCTCAACAATTAAGTGTTCCTACAGTTTATGGCTCCAAGTGGCTTCTGCTTAAGGTGAGCTGATCTCAACTGTGATTCTCTGTATTCACTTATCTCTTCAAATTTCACAGTAGCAGTTTGTCTTGCAACCTCAGTTTTTTGATGGATCTAAGAAAAGTCATTTATTTTCAGTTTGTTTAGTGTTTTTTTGTAGTTGTTGCAAGGATGGAAGCGACAACTTCTAGGCTCTTGTTGAAAGTGAAACAAGAAGTCATCCTATCTTTTTAATGTCTAAAAAAATCAGTGGTAATATCCCATTTTTTACTCATGATATTGGTAATATATGACTTTCCCCTCCCCTCCCCTCCCCTCCCCTCGCCTCCCCTCCCCTCCCCTCGCCTCCCCTCCCCTCGCCTCCCCTCCCCTCCCCTTGCCTCCCCTCCCCCTCCCCTCCCCCACCCTTCCCCGCCCTTCCCCGCCCTTCCCTTCTTCCTTCTTTTCTTTTTACTTTGTTTTTTTTTTTTTTTTTTTTTCCAGAATCTTGCTCTATTGCCCAGGCTGGAGTGCAGTGATGCGATCTCGGCTCCCTGCAACCTCTGCCTCCCGGGTTCAAGCAATTCCCTTGCCTCAGCCTCCAGAGTAGCTGGGAATACAGGCATATACCACCACGCCCGGCTAATTTTCTTGTATTTTTAGTAGAGACGGAGTTACAACATGTTGGTCAGGCTGGTCTTGAATTCTGACCTCAAATGATCTACCCACCTCAGCCTCTGAAAGTGCTAGGATTACAGGCATAAGCCACCCACCCAGCCTTTTTTTTTCTTGACAGTTCTTGTCAGAAGTTTATTAATTTTATTAATCTTATGAAATAAGTACTTTTGTTGACTCTATTATATATGTATTTTCTTTTTCTTTTTTTTTTTATTATACTTTAAGTTTTAGGGTACATGTGCACAACGTGCAGGTTAGTTACATATGTATACATGTGCCATGTTGGTGTGCTGCACCCATTAATTTGTCATTTAACATTAGGTATATCTCCTAATGCTTTCCCTCCCCACTCCCCCCACCACACAACAGGCTCCGGTGTGTGATGTTCCCCTTCCTGTGTCCATGTGTTCTCATTGTTCAATTCCCACCTATGAGTGAGAACATGCAGTGTTTGGTTTTTAGTCCTTGTGATAGTTTGCTGAGAATGATGGTTTCCAGCTTCATCCATGTCCCTACAAAGGACATGAACTCATCATTTTTTATGGCTGCATAGTATTCCATGGTGTATATGTGCCATATTTTCTTAATCCAGTCTATCATTGTTGGACATTTGGGTTGGTTCCAAGTCTTTGCTATTGTGAATAATGCCACAATAAACATACATGTGCATGTGTCTTTATAGCAGCATGATTTATAATCCTTTGGGTATAGACCCAGTAATGGGATTGCTGGGTCAAATGGTATTTCTAGTTCTAGATCCCTGAGGAATCACCACACTGACTTCCACAATGGTTGAACTAGTTTACAGTCCCACCAACAGTGTAAAAGTGTTCCTGTTTCTCCACATCCTCTCCAGCACCTGTTGTTTCCTGACTTTTCAATGATCACCATTCTAACTGGAGTGAGATGGTATCTCATTGTGGTTTTGATTTGCATTTCTCTGATGGCCAGTGATGATGAGCATTTTTTCATGTGTCTTTTGGCTGCATAAATATCTTCTTTTGAGAAGTGTCTGTTCATATCCTTCGCCCACTTTTTGACGGGGTTGTTTGTTTTTTTCTTGTAAATTTGTTGGAGTTCATTGTAGATTCTGGATATTAGCCCTTTGTCAGATGAGTAGATTGCAAAAATCTTCTCCCATTCTGTAGGTTGCCTGTTCACTCTGATGGCAGTTTCTTTTGCTGTGCAGAAGCCCTTTAGTTTAATTAGATCCCGTTTGTCAATTTTGGCTTTTGTTGCCATTGCTTTTGGTGTTTTAGACATGAAGTCCTTGCCCATGCCTGTGTCCTGAATGGTATTGCCTAGGTTTTCTTCTAGGGTTTTTGTGGTTTCAGGTCCAACATTTAAGTCTTTAATCCATTTGAATTAATTTTTGTATAAGGTGTAAGGAAGGGATCCAGTTTCAGCTTTCTACATATGGCTAGCCAGTTTTCCCAGCACCATTTATTAAATAGGGAATCCTTTCCCCATTTCTTGTTTTTGTCAGGTTTGTCAAAGATCAGATGGTTGTAGATGTGCGGCATTATTTCTGAGGGCTCTTTTCTGTTCCATTGGTCTATATCTCTGTTTTGGTACCAGTACCATGCTGTTTTGGTTACTGTAGCCTTGTAGTATAGTTTGAAGTCAGGTAGCGTGATGCCTCCAGCTTTCTTCTTTTGGCTTAGGATTGACTTGGCAATGCGGGCTCTTTTTTGGTTCCATATGAACTTTAAAGTAGTTTTTTCCAATTCTGTGAAGAAAGTCATTGTTAGCTTGATGGGGATGGCATTGAATCTATAAATTACCTTGGGCAGTATGGCCATTTTCATGATATTGATTCTTCCTACCCATGAGCATGGAATGTTCTGCCATTTGTTTGTATCCTCTTTTATTTCATTGAGCAGTGGTTTATAGTTCTCCTTGAAGAGGTCCTTCACATCCCTTGTAAGTTGGATTCCTAGGTATTTTATTCTCTTTGAAGCAATTGTGAATGGAAGTTCACTCATGATTTGGCTCTCTGTTTGTCTATTATTGGTGTATAAGAATGCTTGTGATTTTTGCACATTGATTTTGTATCCTGAGACTTTGCTGAAGTTGCTTATCAGCTTAAGGAAATTTTGGTCTGAGACGATGGGGTTTTCTAGATATGCAATCATGTCATCTGCAAACAGGGACAATTTGACTTCCTCTTTTCCTAATTCAATGCCCTTTATTTCCTTCTCCTGCCTGATTGCCCTGGCCAGAACTTCCAACACTATGTTGAATAGGAGTGGTGAGAGAGGGCATCCCTGTCTTGTGCCAGTTTTCAAAGGGAATGCTTCCAGTTTTTGCACATTCAGTATGATATTGGCTGTGGGTTTGTCATAGATAGCTCTTATTATTTTGAGATATGTCCCATCAATACCTAATTTATTGAGAGTTTTTAGCATGAAGGTTGTTGAATTTTGTCAAAGGCCTTTTCTGCATCTATTGAGATAATCATATGGTTTTTATCGTTGGTTCTGTTTATATGCTGGATTACGTTTATTGATTTGTGTATTTTGAACCAGCCTTGCATCCCAGGGATGAAGCCCATTTGATCATGGTAGATAAGCTTTTTGATGTGCTGCTGGATTCGGTTTGCCAGTATTTTATTGAGGATTTTTGCATCGATGTTCATCAGGGATATTGGTCTAAAATTCTCTTTTGTTGTTATGTCTCTGCCAGGCTTTGGTATCAGGATGATGCTGGCCTTATAAAATGAGTTAGGGAGGATTCCCTCTTTTTCTATTGATTGAAATAGTTTCAGAAGGAATGGTACCAGCTCCTCCTTTTACCTCTGGTAGAATTCGGCTGTGAATCCATCTGGTCCTGGACTTTTTTTGGTGGGTAAGCTATTAATTATTGCCTCAATTTCAGAACCTGTTATTGGTCTATTCAGAGATTCAACTTCTTACTGGTATTTTCAATATTATTAATTTCTACTTTAAAAAATTATTTTTGCCTTCCTAGTAATTTTTGTGGGTTTAACTTGTCCTTTCTCTAAACTTACATAATAATTACATCATAGACTTTCATTCTTTTTTGTTTTCTAATATATGTATTTAAATATATAATTTCTCTCTTAGCATTGTTATGTGTATCCTACAACTTCATATACATAATGTTTTTATTCCATTTAAAAAATAATGCCATATTTTTGTTATCATTAATTTCAAAATATCTTCTGATTTCATTGTGATTTTCTCATTTGGATTATTTAGAATTGGATGCTTAATTTACAAAAAGAAAATCTTAGTATTTGGATAATTACTTTATGTTACTAATGACTAGCTTAATTTCAGATAATATATTCTGAATGAGTTTAATCCTTTTAAATGCATTGAGGTTTATTTCATAGCCAAATATAGTTGATATGGGTAAATATTTTAAATGTACTTGAAAGGAATGTGAATTCTTTTTTAATAAGTACGTTGTTCTATATATGTCAGTTAAGTTTGTTAATTGTGTTGTTCAGATTTATGTCATTAATTTGTTGTTGATTGATTTGCAAATGGTGAGAGATGGATGTTAGTCATCCACTTCTATTTCTCCACCTAGTTCTTTCAACTTTTGCTTTTTGTATTTTGAGGCTATGTTATTCATTGTATACAGATATAGAATTTTTATATCTTATAAACTATCTCTATTTTTAGTAATGTTTCTTGCCTTTTTATTTAAAGGCTACTATGATATAAGTATAGCTACACCAGCTTTCCTTTGTTTATTATTACCATGTTATCTTTTCCATTCTTTTACTAACAACTTTTCTGTGGCCTTATTCCTAATACATGGCTTTTAGAAGAAGAATCTGTTTTCTAAAAAATCTAGCCTGAGAATTTTTGTCTTTTATTTTGAGTATTTAGTTTCTTATATTTAATGCGATTTTTATACACTTCAGTTTTTACTTTCTATGTTCCCTTTCTCTCTTTTCTAGCCTTTGGTTGTATTAATCAAATATTTTTATTGTTCCATTTTTTGCTTTATTATATTGGTAATTGTACATTTATATTGTTCTTTGGTGATTATCCTAGAGATTATCGCATATATCTTGAATTCTTTGTAGTCTTAATATAAATTAGTATATTTATCCATTCCCAGATAGGACCTTGGAGCACTTTTACTCTATTTACTTTCCGCCTTTTATGTTACTTTCCCAGGGATTTTAACTCTACATATACTTTTGATACCACAACTCATTATTATTATTGTTCCATATAGTCAATTTTTTTTTGTATTTATCAATCTGTTTGGTTTTGACTCCTTCTGACATTGTATTCTTTTCCTTTGCTTGGGGAGGAGGAGATATTATATTATTTTTCCTTTTGCTGTAAAAATTCTCAGCATTTCTTTCAGTAAACATCTGCTAGTGAGGAATTATCTATTTTTGAAGGGCTAAAAAATCCTCATTTTGCCTTGTTTTTATAACAGATATTGTTACCAGGTATAGATTTCTATGATGACAGTTGTTTTCTTCCCATACTATAAAGGTGTTTTTTCTGTTGCCCTCTGTAGACAAGTCAGCTGTCCATCTTATTGTAGCTCATTTAAAGATAATGCCTTTTTTCTTTGGCTTGCTTTTAAATTTTTATCTTTTGTCTTTGGTTTTAACAGTTTTTTCCTCTAATATGCCTAGATGTCATTTTCTTTGTATTAACTCTACTTTAGTTTGTAGCACTTTTCATTCTGGAGGAAGGATTTTCATCCTGGAGGTGTGTTTACATCTGTAGACGAATTTCATTATGCCCCAGATATCTCTTTTTTTCTCTTTCTCTCTAGAATATCTATTATTCTGTCTTTTAGTTCACTAACTTTTTTTTTTGCATATCCAATCTGCTGTCAAAATCTTCTATTGAGTTCCTTATTTAAAATATTAAATGTTTCACTTTCATAATTTCCATTTGATGTTTCAAAATATTTAGTTTCCAGCTGAAATTCTTCACTTTAATAACTATTTTCTTGAACATGTCCATCACATACATTTTAAAGTCTGTTTCAATAAACGGGCCATCTATAATTCTTTTATTTGCTTTTTGGTTTCATTTCTTGATATGCTTGCCAATCTTTTAAAATAAACTACTTTTTAGAGAACTTTTAGGGTTACAGCAAAATTGAAAAGAAAGAACAGTGAGTTACCATCTTCCGCTTGCCCACACACACACTTGCACAGTGTCCCCCATTGTTAACATCCTACCCCAGTGTTGTACATTTGTTACAATCATTGAATCTACATTAACACATCCTTATCACCCAAAGTCCATGGTTTTCATTAGAGTTCATTCTTGTTGTTGTTTATTCTGTGGGTTTGACAAACATATAATGACTTTTATCCACCTCTATACTATTAGACAGAATAGTCTCACTACTATAAAAATCCTCTGTGCTCCATTTATTTGTTCCTCCCTCCATCCTTACCTCTGGCAGTCACCATCTGATCTATTTATTGTCTCCATAGCTTTGCCAGCCTGCTTAGCAATTTTTGAGTGAATGGAAGAATTTTTGAGTGAATGTAAGAGGAAGTACAGAGGCTATGGATGATGTTGCCTTCTTCTGGAGGGGCATCATTTTTATTTTTTGATAGGCAGCCAGGGTGACACAGATTATTTCAATCCAATCAATGACTAAACTGACTTGAGGCTGAGTTTCAGTTTTGTGAGGTCTAGTCAATTCTTTTTCTCTTTGCCCTGCAGTGTATAGCATATAGCAGCCTCACCGAGGATTTGGGATGCTTCTTTGGAGGTTTCTAAATATTTTTCCTTTCAGCTCTCTGAGACAGCTAACATACCACTCTGCTTTTCAGAAACTTTTTGCATAGTTACACAGAATTCTACTCTGGCAAATTCCTCTGAGGGAAAAAAACACTAAGTATTGGCCATATTTATTTGTATTTTCTTCTTCCTCGATCTTAGCCCCTCAAGCCCTAGATGTCTTCACTCCCATAAGTATTATTTTTGTCCCTGCAGCCCATCAGATTGCCTAAAACTCTGCTGGCTTCTATGTCTCCCCTCCATGTTGTTCTACTTTGGTTTTTAGCCTCCTGTCCAGGACTAGAATCAACAAATGGCTCATGGGGAAATTTGTTTCAGTGAATGTTAGCTCATTCTTCTTCCTTTCCTCTGAGATCATGGCCCATGAAGTCTAGGTTGCTTTAGTATATCTTTGATACCTCTAAGAGAATTTTTGTTTGTCTTTTATTTAGCTTTTTTAGTTGCTTCATCAGAAACATGGTCTGCTGGAAGCTACTCTATCTTAGCACAATGTGACAATGATTTGATAAACACCATTATCCTTTTTTTAAAAAAAAGCTCTACAATGCTGGAAATTTTACATTGTTCCTTTTGTTCTTTGAACTGGTTTATGTCCATATTTTATTCTGCTTCCTCCATAGGAATCCTATGTGATTTAGGATCCTAATGTGGTATAACTTTTTACTAAAATGTCTATGCATCACCCTATAATAGTTTTCTGAAACAAAATGGACACATACAATATTTTTAAAACATTTAACATTCTATTATCAATAGTCTCTAATTCGTTAAGTCTCTAATTCTGTATTTCTCAATGTTACATAGTTGAATTACCTAAGAACATTTAAAAATTGCCGATGTAATTTTTGTCCTAACCCTAGAGATTCTAACTTAATTGATCTGGGGTGCAGCCTTGGCACTGAGATGTCTTTAAATCTCTTCAAGTAGTTATAATGTGAAGGGAATCACTGCTGTAACTGCTAAAAAAATGTTCTTCTGGTTTGAGTAACCATTGCAAATGTGTTGGTACACAGTCACAATAAATGAAATACGTTATATATTTGGATAAAAGATAGTTCACAGACTCTTTTTCAAATTGTACCTTTGTCACTTTAGAAGTGTTCGTAGGTAAGGGTAATACATAAGTATGGATAAGAGGCATGCCTTTTGTTCCAGATAAGTAAGATATGTCTTTTCTTTTCTTTTCTTTCTTTCTTTCTTTTTTTTTTTTTTTTGAGATGGAGTCTTGCTCTGTTGCCCAGGCTGGAGTGCAGTGGTGCAATCTCTGTTCACTGCAACTTCCGCCTCCCAGGCTCAAGTGATTCTCCTGCCTCAGCCTCCCTAGTAGCTGGGATTACAGGCACACTCCACCGCACCCAGCTAATTTTTGTATTTCTAATAGAGATGGGGTTTCACCATGTTGCCCAGGTTGGTCTTGAACTCCTGACAGGTGATTCACCCGCCTCGGCCTCCCAAAGTGCAGGGATTACAGGCGTGAGCCACTGTGCCCGGCTGTCTTTTCTTTCTTTTTCTTTTTTCTTTTTCTTTTTTTTTTTTTAAGGTGAATAAGGGCATTTGTAAAAGGGATAGTAGGAAAGAAGTGGCCATAACCAAAGGCATATTCTCAGGCAGATTAATATTAGGAAAGAATACAAATGCAGCTGGAGGATCTGGAACTTGATAGACTTAAAGCTGTTCTTGCCACATACCCCTAGGAAAATCTTCATGTATCCCCCAAATTAGGTAAGGGGTATATTACTTTGAAAACTCTGTTTTATAATATGTTAGATAATGTTCTTTTTCCCTTCCAAATTAATTGTTCACCCTCTTCCACCCTGCTCTCTGCCTCTGGAGGCTGACCTCAATGAATGCCAGCAGACTTTCTTGCCCTCTGGCTTCTGGTTAGGTTTATTCAATTGGTTAGGGAAGAGATCAGGTCAAGGTGTTCATTTTCTAAGCTCCCTTTCAGCAGGGTTTTCAGTCAGCAGGAAGGCTGACTCCCTTGATTCAAGGTCACAGTTCCTCCTAGGTGGCCATCTCTACCTGACTTTCTCCTTGTTCTTGGTAGTCATTCCATCCACTTCTCCCCTTGAGAAGGTAACACCCCCAGGGTATTATATAATGCTTCTGATTTTCCCATAACATTTGAAAACAGCCTCTGCATGAAATCCTCCTTAAATTATCCTAGTTTGCCTGGCTGGTACAGATAGGAACAATGGTATTCTCGGTGGGACTCAGTGTTTTCCACAGAAGTTAACTGAGATCGGGAATGTTATTGAACAGGATTTCTAGTTCCTCATCCTCTCTAATTAGACAGTACAACAATCTTTTATGAACTAAACCTCAATTTTGCCTGACAAACCTGGTATTATGGCTCTGTCGATACACAGATCCCAGAGAATGAATGCTTCAGCTGACATCATTTCAAACTAATACTGGGAGAACATGGGTATTCTGTTCCGGATCATTTCCTGCCCACATCTTTATCCTTGGCAAATGAGGGATAATTTGACAAACACTAAAGGAGGAATGTCAAACCTATACAATACGTACATTCCTCCATCACTTTTCCCCACTTACCCCTTATTTATATGCAATTCTGTCTTTTATTGTTTGTAAATCATTTCTTGGACGTCAGTCTCCTCTTCTTAGCCAGATTGTAAGTTTCATGGGGACATAAGCCGCAAACTTATATGTCTTTGCAGTTTATACAGCCTGAAAATTTTCTACTCAACTCTCTTCCAGCTTACCTGTCTTTTGCATGTCCAATCTGGTGTCAAGCTCATTTAGTGAGTTCTTAGTTTTAGTTATTACATTTTCTTCATTTATTTATTCAACAAAAATATTGAGCACCCATTCCATGCTAGGGATTGGGTGGATTGTAGGATATAAAAGAGAACAAGGACCCTGACTAGTGTTATTAAATAAGGATAATAACTGATTTTAGAAGACTGGTTGCTTTAAAAGGGTCACATGCCCTCATTCATCTTTCATGAAACCACATCCACCCTCATGGTGGTTGCCAAGGATTTTGGTTGAAAACAATATAAACCAACTTTTGTGTAAGGACTTTGTTGTAGATTACAGACTTAACCAAAAGTTGGAACACTGGGTGATATGGCTTGGATTTGTGTCCCTACCAAAATCTCATGTTGAATTGTAATCCCCAGTGTTGGAGGGGGGCTTGGTTGGAGGTGACTGGATCATGGGAATGGACTTTCCCCTTGCAGTTGTTGTGATAGTGAGTTTTCACAAGCTCTGGTTGTCTAAAAATGTGTGGCATTTCTCTCTCTTCCTTCTGCTTTGGCCATGTAAGATGTACCTCCTTCCTTTTTGCCTTCTACCATGATTACAAGTTTCCTGAGGCCTCCCCAGCCATACTTCCTGTATAGCCTGCAGAATGGTCAGCCAATGAAACCACTTTTCTTTATAAATTACCCAGTCTCAGATATTTCTTTATAGTAGTGTGAGAATGGACTAATACACAGGCAGAAAACAGGTAGAGACATAAGGAGTCTACCAGGTGAGAATTTAGTCAGAGCACACAGGGGGTCACAGCACTGAAGATGAACACCTGGTTGTATGACTGACTCTAATGTCTCTCTAGAAACTGGACATCAGAAGTCAGTACTTCCCCTGATTCAGGAGGATGTTGTCAACTGTCTCTTCTCCTTGGGTCATACTTAGTCCAGACTCTAGAATCCCATGGTGATTATCTGTGGAGCTGAGTTTAGGTCCCTACCAGTTGCTAGGGGTCTGGGAGAACAAGGATATTCAGGAATTCTGAGAAGTGGCATTCCACTTCAAATTATGACTCACATAGTAGAAGATTTCCCCAATATGGGAAGGGGCCCCAAATGCTTAGTAGCCAAAAAGTGCTCATAACTGTCCACCCCATTTATAATAAAGTTTGTGGCCAACACATTGGCAATGGTATTATGCACAGGTAAACTACTTTGAAAGTGCTGAATATTTCAGATGCCCTTGAAGCCAGCATTTTTGGGATAAATATTAATGACTTCTTTAGGAATGGAACTATTCAGAGCAAGATTTTCAGTTCACCCAAATATTTGTAAGGACAGAACAGAGCACAATGAATTCATTCATTTACTTCTGTAAATATGTATTGACCACATGTTAAATGCAAGGAGGTCAAGAGTAGAAAAGACATAGCTGCCCCACCCCCCACCATTCCAGCATCAGCTTCTAGCCTAGTTTTGGGAACTGTGAAATTACAAGGATTTCACTTTACTAAAATTTAACCCAGAACATTCTCTCTCTCTCTTGCTCTTTCTCTCTGTCACTCTGTGTTATTATACTTAGTGTTTCTCTTGTGGAGAAACTAGTATTAGTTTTCTAGTTTACTCGGTAACTAGTAAAATGAAGAAAATGACCCAGTGTCAGAAAATTTACTACCCAAAATAAAAATTTTGGGTAAAAAACATCAAAGAAACCCAAAAGTGAATGCTGGCAACAAAGATAATGATATAAAAGAGAAAATACATCTATAAAGCAAAAAATTGGAAAGATTTTTGCTTTTCTTTTTCCCCTATATTCACCATCCACTGGATGGCAGCTCTAAGGTAACACCATGAGAATGTGGCCATTGCAGCTGCTGAGATAGAGCAGCTAATCTGTCCTGTGCAACTGACTAGGCTCTTCATGATTTCACTTGGACTTTACAACAATCCTATGAAGTAGTAGATATTATTATCCTGACTTTCTAATTAACAAACTGATTCTTCAAGAGGATAAGTACCTAATGTAGTCACACAGTTAGTAAATAACAGAGCAAGGAGTCAAAATCATCTTTACCTGACTCTAAAGCTGAGCTCTTAATGATGGCTCTATACATCTTCTCATTGAAAAGCCAAGGTCTGTGGCATATACATGTCTGGAAGATGTTTGTTGGACTTGAAACAGACATCTTCTCTGCAGGTGGCCCTGGGATCTGGTTTGATAGGAGGTGGTGGTTGGGACATTTTATTTTTGAATTTGCACTTGTAAGCTTGTTATTTGAAAGAATGTCGATGATGCCATTTTTAGCCATTCAACTGGTTACGGAGCATGTGCCAATGAGGCGTTTTGTTGTAGTGTGTCCTGACTGCTGTCTTATATGTCTTTATGTAACTACATGATCATGGTGAAGACACAGCCTAGAGATTTCTGTGACTGCCTGCATCTGACTATAGTGTGTACAAGGTAAACTCTAAGGAAATGGCCTCTTGGTTCTTTCTGTGTAAGATTTCTTTTGCTATGGAGTCACAATCTCCAGTCTTTTATCTTATCAATATTACTGCTTCATTTGCAAGTATCTTAAAAATAAAAGAAAGGCTGCTTCTTGGACTTGACTTTATAGAACACCGCACGTGCCAAAGCCATTCCAAATCTTACCTCATTTTGAAATGCCTTTGTGGCTGGTTTTATTTTTCCTTCCTTTCCCTTATTTTAGATCATTTATAACACATTTTATAGGTCGGCGTCAAACAGCAAGGCTTCAACAGTGTGGGGACTATTGCTGGAAGTCATGCCAGAACACACAACTGTAATCCACTAAGTTAATGGAAATGCAACATTATGGCTGAGATTTTACGTGTGTGGAAATCATGAAAACTCACAAACCCAATTCGCGCAACACAAAGAGAAAAGAGAACTGCCCTCTTTTCTATAAGCAGCTGGCCCGCACGCGGTTAAAGACTCCATTTGCGGGGTAGGAGACCCTTGGTAGTTCACATTTCAATAAATCATAAACATTTACATGCATATTAAACACCAAAGGGCTTGCAACCATTTTGCTATTACCTAGATCTATTGAATTTTCATTGATGCCATCAAAAACCAAAGTGCAAGACAAAAAGCTGTTTTATTAAAAACTTTACATTTGATCAGATCAACATCTCCAATGTCCCCAGGAGAGCAGCAACATAGAAAATAAGGTTTTGTAGTCCCATTTGAGCTCACTGGATGCTCCGTTTTACAACCGCAGCTTTCATCCCGATACAAACCTCACATCTTTTTGCTAAGCAGAGTTAGCAGGGAAAAAAAACTGTAAAGCAATGGTTCTCAACCTTGGCTGCACTGGAATCATCTGGAAAGTTTTATGAATCCCGATGCTTAGGCTGCACCCAGACCAATTACAGCAGAATCCTTGAGGGTGGGACCAGGGCATTCATATTTTCCTAAAACTTCCCATGTGAACATGAACCCATGCTGAGGCACCTTGCCCTTGGTAGTATTTCTTTTTTCCTTTTCCATGCCTCCTTTGTTCTTCATTGGGTTCCCCCACTTGCAGATCTGTCTGGGAAATTCCCCGAACTCCAAAATAATTTTTTACCCCACAAAAACTATTTCACAATAACACGAAAGCTTAATGTTTGCTTTAAAGGAAAATGATCTCCAAGGAGGGAAAATGTTTTAAATGGAACACCTGATTTCCAATACCATCACAGGGCCAATATCAGAGAGGTTGTGATGTGGATTTTTTCTCTCTCTTCAACCTCAAGGCACTTCATGAAAGAAATGGTCTGTTCTGACTATTTCAAGAAAACTCGGTTGCTGTGGATATACATGCGGTATGAATAAGAGCAGCATTTTAAAATATGTGGGCCATGGGCCATTGCATCAGTCACCTGGGCTCCAACTCCAGACACCTGAATGTCTCAAATAGGGGCCTGGTTATTTGCATTCTAATAAGCTCCCCAGTGATGCTTATGCAAGCACATTTTGAAAAGTCTGGAACCAGCACGTTAACTCTCTGACAGCAGTGCCTTCTGTATAGTATCAGTGATATGGTCTGCCTGTGTCCCCACTCAAATTGCATCTTGAACTGTAGTTCCCATAATCCCCATGTGTCATGGGAGGGACCCAGTGGGAGGTAATTGGATCATAGGGGTTTTTACCTCCATGCTGTTCTTATGACCGTGAGTGAATTCCTACAAGATCTGATGGTTTTATAAGGGGCTTTCCCTCCCACCTTTCACTCTGCACTTCTCCTTCCTGCCATCATGTGAAGAAGGATGTATTTGCTTCCCCTTCTGCCATATTGTAAATTTCCTAAGGTTTCCCTAGCCATGCTGTACTGAGTCAATTCAACCTCTTTCCTTTATAAATTACCCAGTATCAGGTATGTTTTTATTAGCAGTGTGAGAACAGACTAATGCAATCATTTCATACAAAATATAAGACAATTAAAGTGGAAGAAATATTGAGTCCTATGCTAATACAATTAATAGGTGGGAATGAATTTTTATAAAGAGTTAAAATACAACAGAAATATCTGTTGTCCATGAAGCTGTTGGGTTTCACTGATGATAAACGTATTTGACTGTGTGTTTTGGTGGATAAATAAAAGGGTCTTCGAGGGGATTTGCATCATCAAATTCCATGCACTAAAATTTCATGCTTCTATGTCAAAATCTATGTTTGGCCAGGCATGATGGCTCACACCTGTAATTTCAGTGCCCTGGGAGGCCAAGGTGAGAGGATCACTTGAGTACAAGAATTTGAGACCAGCCTGGGTAACACAGTTAAACCTCATCTCTACAAAAAATTAACAAAATTAGCCAGGCACAGTGGCACATGCCTGTAGACCCAGCTATTCAGGAGGCTGAGGGAGGAGGATTGCTGAAGTCCAGCAGCTTGAGATTGCAGTGAGCTGTGATCCTATGACTATGCCACTGCACACCAGCCTGGGTGACAGTAAGAAACTCTGTCTCAAAAAAAAAAAAAAAAAAAAAAAAAAGAATCTGTGTTTTGATACAGCCTTGGCTACTCTCTGTGTGACCTTGGACAAATTACCCAATCCCTCAATTATCATTGTCAGATGGGGGCCCCAGTGCCTCACAGACTATGTAAAAATGTAATGAGATGATTTATGTGCTTTATAATCTGTAATGCACTACACAAGTAGTGGCTACGCCTGAAGCTCCCATTGTCCAGACCCACATCATCATGCTGCACAGAGCTCAAGAAAGGTCTAGTCTTAATGAGGGGACACATCAATCAGTTTAGTGGCTGGGCTGGGACAGCAACCCAGGACTACTGGCTGTATCCAGTTTTTTTCCACTCCCCCCCAACATCTAAATTGAAATGTTTGACTCAAATTTGTATCATATTGAGCAAGGAACTCAGAGCAATGATTTGAATTCCTTGTGTGACAGAGAAAAGTAAAATTTAAGTATTTTCAATCCTTCCTTTCTCATGTCTTCTAAAGAGAAGGGACACTTTTTCAAGTTAGGTACCTGAAGTTTGTTCTGCTAAAGAAAGAGGTAATAGGTAGAGAGAGTGGGAAGCGCTGAGAAGGCCAAACTGTGCTACAGGAGAAAAGGCTAAGAGCAAAAACCAAGATGAGAGGTAAGAGGAACTAAGCAGAAGAGGGCAAGGAGGATGAGGAGATAGGAGAAGCAGGTGGAGACGGGGGAAGGCAGTGGGCACTGCCTCAAGGAGTGGAATTCCTGGAGGGAAAGAGATGTTCAGGGAGGGTTTTTAGGAAACTTCGCTTTCCAAAGATGCACAACACAGTCTCTTTCTTCTCTCTGCAAGGCACCTTCAGGGATGACCTGCATTGCCTTTAAGTGCTTTTAGTGTCCAATTTGGGTTTACTTGTATGTTTGTTTCTCAGAATGCATTGGCGTATTGAGTTTGGCATAAGAAAAGAGTAAAAGTTTAAGATAGTTACATCTATTTAGGTAAATGTTTTATCACCATTTTTCTCTTTGAGGTTTAAAAAAAATTACCGAAGGTAAATGAACCACCATTCAAAACAAAATACACATAAATTCGCACACAGTAAAGGCTTATTAAGTGGGTCAGGCCTTGTCTTTACTTCTGGATTTCCCCCCTCCCCCGCAGGATAAGGAGACAACCCTAGGCTAGGCCCGCAGAGCAAACGGAGTTTTGCAATTCCTTTGTCTGTTAAATCTGTGGTTCCAGCATGAGGCATTCTGAGACTTTCCGTGCTCATCCAGTGTCACAATTTTCTATAACTGTTCCCATCTCACTGCCTTTCTGCCTCATGACCATCTATATCCTGATTGTTTTGCATCACTGCTGTGGTTTGAAAACTGGTGTCCCCTCCAAAATTTATATTGAAACTTAATTCCCACTGTGGCAGTATTAAGAGGTAGGGCCTGTATTAATCTATTATCACACTGCTATAAAGAACTGGTGGAGACTGAGTGATTTATAAAGAAAAGAGGTTTAATTGACTCACAGTTCCACAGGCTGAGGCATGGCTGGGGAAGCCTTAGGAAACTTACAATCATAGCAGAAGGGCGGAGGGGAAGCAAGCACATCTTCCCATGGCAGCAGGAGAGAGGGAGAGAGAGAAAGAGAAGAAGAAGGAGAAGGAGGAGGAGGAGGAGGAGCTACACACTTTCAAACAACCAGATCTCATGAGAACTCACTCACTATCATGAGAACAGCAAGGAGGATATCCGCCCCCATGATCCAATCACCTCTACCAGGTCCCTCCCTCAACATTAAGGATTACAATTCAACATGAGATTTGTATGGGGACACAGAGCCAAGCCATATCAGGGCCTTTTGGGAAGTGACTAAGTTGTGAGGGCTCTTGCCTCATGAATGGATTAATGCCCTTATAGAAGAGGCTTCAGAGAGAATGTGCCCTTTCATGGCCCTCTGCCTTCTGCCATGTAGGGATGCAACAAGATGGCCCTCACCATATATCAAATGCTGACACCTTGATCCTGAACTTCCCAGCCTCCAGGACTGTGAGAAATAAATTTCTCTTTATAAATTACCTAGTTTGAAGTATTTTGTCATAGCAGCACAAATGAACTAAGACAGAAATTGGTACCAAAGAGGTGGAGTGTTGCTTTAATACCTGAAAATGCAGAAGCACTTTTGGAACTCGGTAATGGGTAGAGGCTAGAATGGTTTTGAAATAAATGCCAGAAAAAAACCTATATTACCACTAATAGAGCATTAAGGGCAATTCTGGTGAGGGCTCAGAAGAAGAGAGCTATGGAGAGAGCCTAAATCTTGGAGATTATCTAAGATGTGAACAGAAATATTGGTAGAAATGTAGACAGTGAAAGCCATTTTGATGAAGTCTTAGACAAAAATGAGGAATATATTATTGAAAGCTGGAGGGAAGGCCATCCTTGTTACAAAGTGACGAAGAACTCGGTTAAATTGTGTCCATGTCCTACTGTTTTATGAAATGCAGAATTTGAGAGCTATGAACTAGGATATTTGACAGAAGTAATCTCTAAGCAGAGTGTTCAGGGCACTGCATGACTTCTCTTAACTGCTTGTAGTAAAATGTGAGAAGAGAAAAACAAGTTCAAGATGGAATTTATAATCAAAAGGAAAAGTGAACGTAAACATTCTGGAAAATTCCCAGCTTGGCCATGTAAAGAATAAAAAATTGCTTAGAAGAGAAAACCAAGGGTGTGGCCAAGTGACCTTTTGATGAGGAGATTAGTGTGGCTAGAAGGAAGCCAGATGCTATTCATTAAGAAAATTGGAGAATAACCCCAAAGGCATTTCAGAGATAATCAATGCTGCTACTCTCATCGCAGGCCTACAGCACTAGGACCACCTTAAAGACAGGACCCTTTCAAGGGAGGAAGGGACCCAGGGCTTCCTCACGTCTCTTCTTCCTGCATTCCAGTGCAGCACTCCTCTCTCCACTTCCCCCACCCTGTCACCGCACTGCTGGGGCTCCGGTGAGCTGAGGTGCAGCACAGGCTGTCCCCCGGAGGGCACATCTGCAAACCTTGGCAGTGTCCACATGGTGCTAACTCTGCAGGTGCTCAGAGTGCATGAGCTGTGCAGGCATGGCTACCTCTACCTGGATTTCATAGGATGCTTCAGAGAGTCGCAGGGCCCTGGCAAAGAATTGCCACAGGGTCAGAGGCATGTGAACCAGGGCAACTCCATTCTTGAATAGGAGCTGGGTAAAATGAGGCTGAGACCTACTGGGCTGCATTCCCAAATGGTTAAGGCATTCTAAGTCACAGAATGAGATAGGAGGTCATCACATGATACAGGTCATAAAGACCTTGCTGATAATACAGGTTGCAGTAAAGAAGCTGGCTAAAACTCACCAAAACCAAGATGGCTATGACAGTGACCTCTGGTCGTCCTCACTGCTACACTTCCACCAGTGCCATGACAGTTTACAAATGCCATGGCAATGTCAGGAAGTGACTCTATATGGTCTAAAAAGGGGAGACATGAATAACCCACCCTTTGTTTAGCATATCATCAAGAAATAACCATAAAAATGGGCAACTAGCAGCCCTCGGGGCTGCTCTGTCTATGGAGTGTCCATTCTTTTATTCTTTTACTTTCTTAATAAACTTGCTTTCACTTTACTGTATGGACTCTCCCTGAATTATTTCTTGTGTGAGATCAAAGAACCCTCTCTGGGTCTGGATCCGAACCCCTTTCCTGCAACAACAGGGGTAGGGACACTGCAGCGAACCCTCAAAAGGGCAATGCCTCATGGAATTGTATGGGGCAGGGCTACTCCTGAGATGCTAGATCTGTAAAGCAACCATCATGCAACTCCCCACCCTGGGGAGAGCCACAGACACTCAACGCCAGCACATGAGAGCTGCAGTATGGGCTGTGCCCAGTAACACCATGCAGGTGGAGTCCCTGAAGCCTGGGGGACCCAAACTTCACCCTAGTGTGTCTGGAAGGTGCAATCTGGAGTCAATAAAGATTGTTCTCAAGCTTCAAAGTTTAATGTTGTGTGCCTTGTTGGATTTTGGACTTACTTGGGAAGCTATTACTCCTCTCTTTTTGCGTATTTCTCCCTTTTGGAATGGGAATGTCTATCCTATGCCTATCCCATCATTGTATTTTGGAAGCACATATTGTTTGATTTCACAGGCTCACAGCTGGAGAGTAATTTGCTTCAGGATGAAGAGTACCTTGAATCTCACCCATATCTGATTTAGATGAGGTTCTAGAGTTTAGACATTTGAGTTGATACTGGAAACAGTTAAGACTTTGGGGGCAATTTGAATGGAATGAATGTACTTTGTAGGTAACAAGGTTATGGATTTCTGGGGGGCCAGGGGTGGAATGCCATGGTTCAAATGATGATGTCACCTCCAAAATTTATGTTCAACCTTAGTCCCCATTGTGATGCTATTTAGAGGTAGGGCCTTGGGGAAGTAATTAAATAATAAAGACTCCACTCTCATGAATGGATTAATGCCTTTATAAAAGAGGCTTTGGAGAGAATGTGCCCTTTTCCTGCCCTTTGTCTTTTGCCATGTGAGTGAGGATGCTGCAAGAGGGCCCTCACCAGACACAAAATGTCAGCACCTTGATCATGGCCTCCTCTGACTCCAGAAATGCAAAAAATTAATTTCTATTCTTTATAAATTACCCAGTCTCAGGATTTTGTGATAGCAGCAAAAGCAACCTACGGCAATCATAGTCCATTTTTAATCCGTATCATACTACAGTTTTCATCTGTACCCAGTCTCTTTGGTTTCCGATCCTTGGCCCAGTTTTCCATTTATAATATGTAGTTTGTACTAGTTTCTCAAACTCATTTCCTCACCTTCATCCCAAGGACTAACTTCTGGCTTTCACCGTTCTCTGTGGCTCCTGTGCACCTCTTTGACTTCCTTGCTCTCAAACCTCTCTGGCAACACCTTCTGCCATTCCAACTCCCCACCAGGCCTTATTTCCAAGACCAAGACCCAGAAGTTAGCTAACAGCTCTTGTTAACCTCACTCCTACCCCAAAAGCACCAAGGAAAAGGTCAATGTCCCTTTGAAAACAAGGCTACAGGGTATTGTATTCCCTATCCATACTTTAATATCTCAAGGACTAGACTCGCGTGTTAAATGTAGGCATCTACACACCTGACTGGCATAACCATATCTGTTGTAGTTCTGAGGCAGTAATGAGTAAACACACACACCCCAGAAAACTACTCCTGCGCCTCCACACTTACGTATGTGTGTGTGTTCATGCTAGTGCGTGACTCTATCTAGACCTCTACATTTGGTGTTTATTAATTTTTAAGATATTTTAATTAGAAAACAACACATGTGTTCTACGCTATTTTCATTTGTTGATAAATTCTTTAATTCTTAACCAATTCTATTCAAGCTTAGCAAAGAAGAACAAAGATACATTCTGTATTCTTAAAACCCCATCTGTTTTCTCATGTATCAAAATAGAAGAGAATAAGAAGAGGAAAACCTCACCTGGACTATGCCGTTTTTCCCATGAGATGATCTTGGAGGTCACATTCTTTTCACCATTATTTCCAAGTTGCCCTCTGAGGGCAGAAGCATAATGCAGTTGAGCTCCAAAGCTAATTTGAGCAAAACTATTTATAGTCTGAATAAAATATTTTTATAGACTTAAGTAGCATTAAAATCAACAGCAAAACAGCTGTATTTTTGTGAGAAATAAGAAGTGAGTCTACAGAACTGTATCGTGGATGCTCTTTACTACCTTTTAAAATTAGCACATTTTCACCATTAGCACTACTACATTCTTTCTTAGACGACCAGCCCCACATTTCAGCTCTGCCTCTTCACTAGGGAGCACATGAGGGGGATGCCAAAGAGAGATAATTGCAAAAACATGGCGCTTTATGCTTCAGTTGCCAGCTTTTCCCACCCCAAATAATACACTGGAATCTCAAGTCATGTGTAATTCTTTCTGAAGAAAGCATAGAACTATTTTGAAGGAAAATGCATAAAGAAAAAGTGATTTGTTTGAAGGGAGAAAAATGCTACTTTTTCCCGTTGTCAGGATTATCAAACTGTTTGTTTTTAACTGCTTTTATCCCCGTGTGAGATAAAGAGAAGTCAAAATGAATTCATTAAAGTCACGTGAGCTTATTTTTCAGGAGATGGGTATTAATATTTTATTTTAGAGTCTCTGTCATTCAATCTGACAGGTGTGGCCAGGCAGGGTTGCTGAAACCAACTCATCCCCACTCTGGTCTCATTTCCTCTCCTTGGATAACAGTCACAGAAGCCACATGCCAATGTGCTGAGAGTCACATTTTCCATCAGCAGCATTTTGCTATTTGGAAAGTCCTTAAGCAGTTGTGCCGGCTGCCTTGGAGTTACCTGCAATATGGCTCATGTGTTCCTCACAGACCGCCTGGGAAGCTTTGTTAGTCTCAGAGGCATTTATTAAATGTTTAAAACAAAGGCAAGTTACCTTTGTCTGTCAAATCTGTTTTTGAACATGGTCTTGAGTTACTCTGCGTTTCAGGATAGTGCAATAATTCTGTGACGATAAATGAGAATTGGATTTGAAAACGAAGCACCAGTTGTTCCTACTACTGTCCTTTTCTGCAGAAGGAGATCTGTGTTGTGTAATTCAGCTTTCATATGTGCCTCTTCTGGCACCTGTTTTTGCATGAGGATATAGAGTACACAGAAATTTATTGTTTGCCTAGAAATTTCTTATGTTCACAAGTTGATTGCTGCTCAATCTGTGGCTCAATGGATGACTATGAAGTGTAAAAATAGTTAAAAACATTTCTAAACATTTAGTTTCATTGTTTTGTTTCATTAGTTCAATGTTCACAGCAATAAATGGTTCTTAAAACATCTCTGAAAAGTCCAGTGGAAAACAGAAAATATGAAGGAGGAAATGACCCTTTCTAGCAGAGGGTAGGTGCAGAAGCTCAAACCTCCCTTTCTTTTCCTGATTCCATTCGTCAGTGCTCTGCAGAAGTGGCCCCTAGAGAAAAGTTTCTCTACACATGTCTTGGTGATAGTGTGGAAGCTCAGCTAAGGTACACCCAATCTTCAAAGTCCTGAGTAAAATAATGAGAATCTCTTCACCACTTGGCTAAAAATTTATTCTCCAGGAAGAATCTAAACATTGGGAAAACAAATTAATTAACAGCAGACAATGAAACATCCCCCAGGTTGGTACTTCGTTACTGAAATCAGTCCCCGAGCCATCCTGAAGACTCTGGAAGGGATAAACAGGGGACTGGTTCAAATTTCTACCGTTTCTGGCATGATCTCCCACAAACCTATCAAGGAATTTCCCTTTAATCAAGTGTTCACATAAAAGACAACAAATAAAAAATCTTAAAGAAAATTAGAAAGGGAAAAATTTACAAAGAATTATCAAGAATGTTTGGTGTATTATTGGTAAGATGCATTACCTGTGTGGGAAGTAGGACTTACCAGAGAGAACCTATTGATCAGTTCTATTTATCCAATAGCTGTGACTGCTCAAAATGCTGAGGTACCACCCCAGCCACCTGCAACAAAGTCTGAGGCCAGAGGTGGCCAAATTGCCCAAGTGTGCAGTGATTTCAATGTACTAGGTACATTGCATTGTACCTGGGACAGTGGAATGTAGAGAAGACCTCTATTAGACATGCCCTCTATCTTTCCTAATTCAGCAGTGATTTTATGAATTAGATAATTGATTTTCCTCTGCAGATGTTTGCAAGTTTTAAGCAATTAGTCTCAATATTTGCATGAACCTTTATTTATCTTAGAGGAAGGTAATTTGGTGCTATCTGTCTTTGAAATTGTTTTCTAGTCCTTTTCCACTTGTTTCCCTAGGCACCGACTGAAGACAAAAGAAACTTCTCCAGTGGATGAAGTTGTCCGCTGGCATCCACAGCAATGATGTCCTTGCTTCCCAAAGTGTACACATTGTTTGCTAGTGAGTGAGCTGACTGGGTTGTGCCATCTTTCCTGCCCCCACACATGAAGACACATTCCTTTTGCTCTCTAAATAACCTTGAAACAGGCTAAGCTTTCCAGAGCTCATTTATAGAAATCCTCGATTTATGCAAACACAGTATCATGCAAAAGAATTAAAAAGGAGAAACAGAATTTGAAATAGTAGTGCAAGGGAAGAGCTCAATGAGGACCACCCTGGAGATGGAGAAAAGATCCAAAGTCTGTTTCCAATTATGAGCTTCTAGGAGGAGAATGAGTTATATTTAAAGTAGTTCCAAACCAGGTGAGGATGGAGAGGTCATCTGTGTTGAAGAGGGGTGGGGCAGCATGGCTGGTGGCAAGTTGTGACCCTTGTTTATAACTAAAATTAGATAAGTTTGCATACAAACAAAAAACAATGTGCCTTTGGATATAGTGTCTACAGTTGGGCAGACAGAATGGGGAAATAGAGAAAGGCTTCACTTAGGATGGAGAGAGGGTCAGACCGGTGTTATTAAAACATTTGGAGTGGGAAATCCTGGCTTTGTGTCTGAGCTCTGCCAGGTTGTAGGTACTTTGGGTAATCCATTTCAACTCTGTGGGTCACAGCTTAGTTATCTTTCAGTGGTGGTATTAGCCAGTGATTCTCAAACTTTTTGATCTAAGGATGGCTTAACACTCTTAAAAACTGTTGAGACTCCAAAGAGTTTTTGTTTCTGTGGAATCTATGTGTTGATAATTATATTAGAAATTAAAATGATGAATTTAAATAAAAATATGTATTAATTTATTTATAATAACAGTAATAAGCACTTTTCATATTAACATAAGATATATTTAAGAAAATTAACTATATTTTCCAGAACAAAAAACAGTTTGGTGAAAATGAGAGACAGGACTAGCTGGATTTCCTAGGCCGACTAAGAATTCCTAAGCCTGGTTGGGGAAGGTGACCACACTCACCTTTAAACAGGGGCTTGTAACTCAGCTCACACCTGACCAATCAGGTAGTAAAGAGGGCTCACTAAAATACCAATTAGGCTAAAATCAGGAGGTAAAGAAATAGTCAAATCATCTATCATCTGAGAGCATGGGGTGAGGGATGATGATTGGGATATAAACCCCAGGCATTCAAGCCGGGAGTGGGCAAACCTCTTTGGGTTCCCTCCCATTGTATGGGATCTCTGTTTTCACTCTATTAAATCTTGCAACTGCACACTCTTCTGGTCCGTGAATGTTCCGGCTCGAGCTGAGCTTTTGCTCATCATCCACTGCTGTTCACCATCGTGGCAGACCCGCCATTGACTTCTACCCCTCCAGATCCGACAGGGTGTCCACTGCGTTTCTGATCCAGCAAGGCGCCCATTGCCCATTGCCCATTGCCGCTCCCGTTTGGGCTAGAGGCTCGCCATTGTTCCTGCATGGCTAAGTGCCCGGGTTCATCCTAATCGAGCTGAACACTAGTGGCTGGGTTCCACTGTTCTCTTCCGTGACCCACAGCTACTAATAGAGCTATAACACTCACTGCATGGCCCAAGGTTCCATTCCTTGGAATCTGTAAGGCCAAGAACCCCAGGTCAGAGAACAAAAGGCTTGCTGCCATGTTGGGAGTGGCCGCCACCATCTTGGGAGTGGCCCACCGCCATCTTGGGAGCTCTAAGAACAAAGACCCACCCAATAACAAAAAGATTAATGTTGGTTTGCATTTTTGCAAATCTCTGTAATGCAGCTAGATTCTCATATCTGCTTCTGTAGATTGTGTGTTACAATATCACATATCATGTAGTCTCTGGAAAACTCCACTGTATAAGATAAAGAATGAATAAGTGAAACAATAACTAAGTATTATGAAAATCGTTTTGACCTTGCAGACTCCCAGAAAGGGTCTTGGGAATGGGAAAGCTTACATTTACATTCCCAAGGCATAATAATATCACTCTCTTCATTTTGTGCCTGTAAGATCCTCACAAAGTCTTTGGTCATTATGCACCTATTCCTTTATCTGTGATCTTCAGACCCTTGGCAAAAGGGGAAATATATTAGAGTCCTAAACTTCCCCCTCTATCCTCCTTCATCCTTCAAATAATGCAGTGGAATCTTCCCAGGACACCTCAGGCAACTCTAGGCCCCAGTACCACCTGGTATCACCCTATCCATTTCTTATTCTGGAAGCTAGTCCCTCAGAACGGACAGGCAGAAGAGGTAACTCTGACCTGACTTCAGCAATGCTCCTGAGCTGAGGGCATTATTTCATCACTTTACTCTGACCCTGATGTAGTGGAGAAACATGGGCTTTTGAATTGGACAGGATTGGACTGAATTCCAATTCTTGATTTATGTGACTTGGGCACGTTAATTAATATCTTTGACACCCATTTTTCTTGTTTGCAAGAGGTTAATATATATGGTTGCATAAGGATTAAATGTGGTACTATATGCAGTGCTTGTGAGACTCACGGAAGGACTTAAAAATGATAATCATTGCCAGGCACGGTGGCTCACGCCTGTAATCCCAGCACTTTGGGAGGCTGAGGTAGGTGGATCACCTGAGGTTGGGAAGTTTGAGACCAGTCTGACCAACAAGGAGAAACCCCATCTCTACTAAAAAAAAAACACACAAACAAACAACCAAAAAAAAAAAAAAAAAAGAACCAATTAGCCAGGTGTGGTCGCACATGCCTGTAATTCCAGCTACTCGGGAGGCTGAAGCAGGAGAATTGCTTGAACCTGGGAGGTGGAGATTGTGGTGAGCTGAGATTGTGCCATTGCACTCCAGCCTAGGCAACAACAGTGAAACTCCTTCTTGAAAAAAAAAGATAATCATTATTATTAGAAAAGAGTATCCATAAGCCCTGGAGAATAAATAATGAAGAGAACTATTTGAGAGGGACATACTCCCCACCATTCATTTGTGCCTGTGTGAGAAGTTCCAGTAGATCAGTGGTACTTAATCATTTTTGCTTTTAGGAGCCCTTTATGTTCTTAACAATTCTTAAAAACAAAAAGAACTCTTGTTAATGTGGGTTCAATCTACAATGTTTACCATAATAGAATTTTTCCTTTTTTGATTTTTAAATTAATATATGATTTAAATACAGTGAATTTTACCTTTCTAAGTTTTATAATTAAGTCTATGATCTATTTTCAAGTTAATATGGTAGAGTACAAAATATAAATAGAAGTTCATTTACACAGAGACAGGGTATCAGAAATGTGCAGACAGCTCCCTCAAGTCTTCATCTGAGTATTAATGAGCATACATATAAAAGAATACAACACTGAGAAAGAACTACCTGAAAGGAACACCCAGAACCATTCATGAGACTCACACCTGGCTGGCAGTAGTTTGTGTCCCCATGAGTCAAAGTGGAAAAATAATTCTGTAATATGTAGGCACTGGGTACTCAGAAGTATATAGCTTCAGTACTAAGGAAAAATTAGCCCTAGACTAAAAGTTCCTTTGATCTCCCTTAAAAAAAAGATGAAAAGTACACCTCAAAAGGGTTAAGCTATTTACAAGAAACTTAACTGCATCTCAGAACAAAGCTTAAAAATATTTTAAGTTATATTAGTTATTTAAAAATATTATGTTATATTAAGTTAATATAACTTAAAATATTATAAAATATTATAAAATTTATTATTTAATTTACTTATTAAAATAATATAAAATATTATACAATATTTAAGTTATATCATATATTATATCCAGCACCCAACAAGATAAGATTCACAATGTTTATATCTAATCAAAAGTGACTAGGCATACAATGAAGCAGTATGATATAATTCATACTGAAAATGACAGTATATTTTTCATCAAAAATAATCCAATAGCTGAAAAAATATATCTTTTAAAATGAAGACAAAATTAATGCTTTTGCAGACATTCAAAAACTGAAAATATTCATTATTTATTAGCATACCTGATTTGCAGGAAATGATAAAGGCCATCAGGCAGAGAGAAAATAATACTGGAGGGAAATATGTATCTACATGCAGGAATGAAGGTCACTGGATATGGTTTTTTGCAACTGCTTTTGAGGACTAAGTCATAAATTCTTTGCCAAGTCCAATTTCTAGACACATACTTCCTAGGTTTTGTTCTAGGATTTTCATAGTCTGAGGTCTTACATTTAAGTGTTTAATCCCATCTTGAGTTAATTTCTGCATTTGTAGGGGTTCAGTTTCAGTCTTCTGCATATGGCTAGCCAGTTTTCCCAGAACTATTTATTGACCAGGGGATCCTTTTCCTGTTGTTTTTTTATGGGTTGATTTTGTCAAAGATCAGATGCCTGTAGGCACATGACTTTATTTTGGGATTCTCTAGACTGTTCCATTGCTCTGTCTATTTTTGTATCAGTGCCATGCTGTTCTGGTTACTGTAGCCTTACAGTATGGTTTGAAATTTGATAATGTGAAGCCTCTGGCTCTGTTCTTTTTGTTTGGGATTACTTTGTCTATTCATGCTCTTTTTTGGTTCCATATGAATGAATTTTAGAATAGTTTTATTTTTAAGTCTGTGAAAAAATGATGTAGGTAATTGGATAGAAGTAGCATGGAAACTGTAGATTGCTCTGGGCAGTATGGTCATTTCAAGGATATTGATTCTTCCAATCTATGAGCATGGAATATTTTTCCATTTTTTTGGTGTCATCTATGATTTCTGTCAGCCGTGTTTTGTAGTTCTCCTTGTAAAGATCTTTCAACTCCTTGGTTAGCTATATAAGGTATTTTATTTTTTTGTGGCTATTGTAAATGGGATTATGTTCTTGATTTTGCTCACAGCCTGTATGTTATTGGTGTACAGAAAAACTGATTTTTTTATGTTGATTTTGTATCTTGAAATGTTACTAAAGTTGTTTATGAGGTCTAGGTGCCCTTTGGTGGAGGCTTCAGGGTTTTTAGGTAAATAATCATATCATCAACAAAGAGAGATAATTTGACTTCCTCTTTTCCTACTTAGATGGCTTTTATTTATTTCTCTTGCCTGATTGCTCTGGGTAGGACTTCCAGTACTATGTTGAATAGAAGTGGTGAGAGTGGACATTCTTTTTGTGTTCCAGTTGTTAGGGGAAATGCTTCCAGCTTTTTCCCAGTCAGTATGATGTTGACTGTGGGTTTGTCATCAATGACTCTTATTATTTTGAGGTATGTTCCCTCAATGCCTAATTTGTTGAGTTTTTTTTTTTTTTATCATGAAGGGCCGTTGAATTTTTATTGAATGCTTTTTGGCATCTATTGAGTTGATCATATCTTTTTTGTTTTTATTTGTGTTTATGTTGTGAATCATATTTATTGAGTTGTGTATGTTGAGCTAACTTTGCATCCAGGAATGAAGCCTTCTTGATCATGGTGAAATAACTTTTTGATATGCTACTGGATTTGATTTGCTCATATTTTGTGGAGGATTTTATTAGGATTATTGGGCTGCAGTTTTCTTTTTTTGGTGTCTCTTTCACTGATTTTGGTATTAGGATGATACTGGTTTCGTAGAATGGGTTAGGGAGTGATATGGTTTGGCTGTGTCCCCACCCAAATCGCATCTTGAATTGTAGCTCACATAATTTCCATGTGTTGTGGAAGGAACCCAGTGGAAGATAATTGAATCATGGCAGTGGTTTCCCCCATACTGTTCTTTTGGTAGTGAATAAGTCTCATGAGATCTGATGGTTTCATAAGAGGAAACCTCTTTTGCTTGGTTTGTCATTCTCTCTCATGACTGCTGCCATGTAAGACATGCCTTTTGCCTTCTGCCATGATTGTGAGGCCTCCCCAGCCACATGGAACTGTGAGTCCATTAAACCTCTTTTTCTTTATAAATTACCCAGTCTCCGGTATGTCTTTATCAGCAGTGTAAAAATGGACTAATACAGAAAGGAATTCTTCCTCCTTGATGTTTTGGAATAGTTTCAGTAGACTTGGTACCGGCTTTTCACTGGTAGAATTTGCCTATTAATCCATCTAATCTAGAGCTTTTTTGTTTGGTAGGTTTTTTTATTACTGATTCAATTTCATAACCATTCTTAATCTGTCTAGGGTTTCAATTTTTTCCTATTCCGTCATGTGAGACTGTGTGTTTCCATGATTATATTCATTTTCTCTAGATTTTCCAGTTTGCGCACATAGAAGTATTCATAATAGTCTCTGAGGATCTTTTGAATTTCTCTGGGATCATTTGTAATCTGTTCTTTGTCATTTCTGGTTGTACTCCTTTGGATCTTCTCGTTTTTTGTTTCTTTGTTAATCTAGCTAGTGGTCTATCAATCTTGTTTTTCCTTTCAAATAACTAACTTTTTATTTGGTTGATACTTTGTATGATTTTTTGAGTCTTGATTTTGTTTTGTTTGACTCTGATTTTAGTTATTTCTTTTCTTCTGCTAGCTTTGGAATTATTCTTTCTTTTCTAGTTCCTTGCATATGATATTAGACTGTTAATGTGAGATCTTTCTATCTTCTTGATGTAGGTTTTTAACTTTATAGACTTTCCTCTTAACACTGCTTTAGATACATCCTAGAGGTTTTGGTATGTAGTGTCTCTATCTTCATTTATTTCAAAGAATTTTTAAATTTCTGCCTTATTTTTTGTGTATCCAAAAGTCATTCAGGAGCAAGTTGTTTAGTTTCCATGTAATTGTGTGGCTTTGAGAATTCTTTTATTGTTGGTTTCTATTTTAATTCCACTGTGGTTGGAGAATATGCTTGTTAAAATTTCAATTTTTTTGAATTTATTGAGACTTTTTTATGAATGAATATGTGGTTGATCTTAGAGTATGTTTCATGTGCAGATAAGAATAATTTATATTCTGTGGTTGTTGGGTGGAATATTCTTTATATATTTATAAGGTCCTATTGGTTAAGTGTTCAATTTTTAAGTCCAGAATTTCTTTGTTAGTTTTATAACTTGATGATCTGTCTAATGCTGTCAGTGGGGTATTGAAGTTCCTCACTGTTATTGTGTGACTAAGTCTCTTCCTAGGTTTAGAAGTAATTGTTTTATAAACCTGGGAGCTCCAATGTTGGGTGCATATATACTTAGGGTAAGTAAGTCTTCTTGTTGAATTGAACTATTTATCATTGTGTAATTCCCTTTTTTACCATTGTTGGTTTAAAGTATGTTTTATCTAATACAAGAATAGTGACTCTTGCTCTTTTTTTTTTTTTTTTTTTGAGATCTTGCTCTGTCTCCCAGGCTGAGTACAGTGGCGGGATCTCGGCTCACTGCAAGCTCGACCTCCTGGGTTCACGTCATTCTCCTGCCTCAGCCTCCCGAATAGCTGGGACTACAGGCGCCCACCACCATGCTTGGCTAATTTTTTGTATTTTTAGTAGAGACTGGGTTTCACCATGTTAGCCAGGATGGCCTTGATCTCCTGACCTCATGATTTGCCCCCCTCGGCCTCCCAAAGTGCTGGGATTACAGGTGTGAGCCACTGCCCCCAGGCGACTCTTGTTCTTTTTTTGTTTTTCATTTTCATGACAGATCTTTCTTAATCTCTTTACTTTGAGCTTTTGGGTGTCATTGCATGTGAGATGGGTCTCTCGAAGACAGCAGAAGGTTCTGTCTTGCTTTATTTCAATCCAGTTTGCCACTTTGTGTCTTAAGTGGTGTGTTTAGACTGTTTACATTCAAGATTAATATTTATATGTGTGGTTTTGTTCCTGTCATGGTGTTGTCACCATGTTGCTTTGTAGACTTGATTGTGTAGTTGCTTTATAAGGTCTGTGGGCTGTGGTAGCAGGTGTCCTTTTTTCATTTCTATGTTTAAAACTCCCTTAAGCATCTCTTGTAAGGCCTGTCTAGTGGTAATGAACTCTCTTAGCAATTGCTTATCTGGGAAATATTTAATTTCTCCTTTGCTTATGAAGCCTAATTTGGCAGGATATGAAATTCTTCGTTGAAATGTTGTTCTCTTTAATAATGCTAAAAATAGACCCTGATCTCTTCTGTCTTATAAGGTTTCTGCTGAGAAGTTTGCTGTTAAGCTGATGGGATTCCATTTGTAGGTAACATGACCCTTTTCTCTAGCTGCCTTTAAGATTTTTTTTCCCCCATTGACCTTGGAAAGCCTGATACCTATGTGCCTCAGGATGGTCATCTTGCATAGTATCTTGCAGGAGTTCTCTGAACTTATTGAATCTGCATGTCAACCTCTCCGGTAATATTGGGGACACTTTTGTGGATTATATTCTCAAATATGTTCTGCAGGTTGTTTATTCTCTCTTCTTCTCTTTCAGGTATGCCATTGAGTTGTGGATTTGGTTCACTTTATATAATCCCGCTTTGTCCATATTAAAATTTATTAGGTTTTCTTTATTTTTGTCTGGCTTGATTGATTCGGAGGACTGATCCTTGAGCTCTGAAATTCTTTCCTCTGTTTGGTCTAGCCTACTGTTAAGGCTTCAAATTATATTTTGAAATTCCTCTAGTGAATTTTAAAATTCTAGACATTCAGTTTGGTTGTTTCTTAATATATCTATGCCATCTTTCAAATCTAGGATTGTGTTTCTGGTTTCACTGGATTGGATTTCCACTTTCTCTTAGATCTTGTTGAGTTTCCTCACTATCTAGGTTCTGAATTCTATATCTGTCATTTCAGACATTTCAATCTCATTAGGATCCATTGCTAGGAAGCTAGTGTGATCCTTTGGATGTAATGAAATGCTCTAGCTTTTTGAATTGCCAGATGAACTTATGGTTTTTAACAAATACATGACAGATAGATAGATGGATAAATAGACATTAGTTTGTATACATACATATATTTCTATACTCTAGGATCTGGAAACAGTGGTATTCCCACAGCAATGAGGACACCCAGCACTCAGAGATCTTGATTTCTAAATACCATCTTCAGTAAAAGGAACTAGGCTTCTTGGGAGAACTGGTTGATCCAGGGCTGGAGCAGGAAAAGTACAAAATGAGGCTGAAACATTTTGTGGTATCAGATAGTAAGAAAGTCTCAGAGGAACAAATGAGCCAATAAGAAAAACTTCCAATGGCCAAAGATGGAACAATTGGAGCAATAATGTAATTTATGATAATATATGCAATCTAAAGAATAAGATAAATGTCCATGACTCCACATTGATATGTTAATGATTGAATAAATAAATAAGTGAGTGATAAAGAACAACATTTACAGAGTTATTTAAACTACATATTTACATGGTGTATTAGTCCATTTTCATACTGCTATGAAGAAATACCCTAGACTGGTTAATTTATAGGCAAAAAGAGGTTTAATAGACTCACAATTCCACATGGCTGGGGAGGCCTCACAGTTATGGCAGAGGTAAACAACATCTTACATGACAGCAGGCAAGAGAGCGTGTGCAGGGGAACTGCCCTGTATAAAACCATCAGATCTCATGAGACGTATTCGCTATCAGGAGAACAGCCTGGGAAAAACCACCCCCATGATTAAATTACCTCCCACAGGGTCCTTTCCACAATATGTGGGGATTAGGAGAGCTACAATTTAAGATGAGATTTGGGTGGGGACACAGCCAAACCACATCAAATGAAATGAGGGAAATAGGAAATCACCATTAGAACACCATAATAATACAATCCACCAATAAATGCTAAAATTAGTGGGCAAAAGTTTAAGGATAAATAAGGTTTTGCATAGACCAAATTTTTATTGATTACAAAGTGAAAAGTTGTGATTTACTATGGAGAAACCTGGTAGACACAGCCTTAACCAAATAATTAAATTTATTATCACCAGTGTCAAGACATATTGATATCATATATTCCCGGAGAAATACACATCACCACCTCTGTGGCATTCCCTTCGCATATCCGTAACTTTAATCTAATCATGAGAAAATATCAGACAAACCCAAGTTGAGGGCCATTCTACAAAATCTCTTACCAGTACTGTTTTAAAATGTCAAGGTCATGCAGGACAAGTACAACTGACTATCAGATCAGACAATACTAAAGAGATATGACTACTAAATGCAATGTAGTACCCTGAACTAGATCCTGGATCAGAGTAAATATGTTAATGTAAAATCTTTTGAAATCCAAATAAATTCTGTAGTTTAGTTAGTAGTATTATATCAATGTTGATTCCTTAGTTTTGGTAGCTGCATTATGATTATATGAAATGTTGACAGAGGAAACTGGGTGAAGGGTATACTGGAACTGTTTGTGCTATCTTTGTAACTCTTCCGTAAGCTTAAAATGGTGTCCAAAACTAAAAGCTTTTAAAATAGTTCAGGAAATAACCTAGTGAGAAAAGTGGCATTGTTTTACATTTTTGAAAATCAATTTAATGAATGTCTTTAATGGGAATCAGATGGATTCTGAATTTTACATTCAATCTGTTACAATATTATGTGTCATATAGCCTCTGGAAACCCAACTATATATTTGTAAGAAAATGGGAGTGAAAAAGGCAATGGTGTCATCATAAAAGTAGTTTTGACTTTGTGGATTCCTGGAAAGGGTTTATGGGTGCCTTGGCCCTCTAACACATTTGAGAACCAGTGAATTAGAGTAACACTCTTGAGTTCTCTTTACCATTTAGGGTGATTGCTGAGTTCTGGAGACAGACTGGGCTTCTGCTTTCTTTTGGTGGAGGTGTCTGCTTGCAGAAAATTTATGTTCTGGGGTGAGTATTTAATTTTGAATAACGTTATCAAGCTCATTTTTGGCTACATCTAACTGTATTGAAAAAATAGCTTTGTTACTATTAAATCAGACCTATTGATCTCTATCTACAAGAGTCCTGCTGTATATCTTGGTTAATTCAGAGCTTGGCTACATCTAACTGTATTGAACAAATAGCTTTGTTACTATTAAATCAGATCTATTGATCTCTATCCACAAGAGTCCTGCTGTATGTCTTGGTTAATTCAGAGCTTGGCCTGGGATCAGAGGTGTTGTTTTCCTCCTATATCCATGATATGAGCTTGTGTGATTCACAATGGAAGGATAAAGGAGGACAACACGGCAATAAATAGGGAGTGATGGGAAAAATCGTCCAGAGTAAAGTATCAGGTTCACCAGGGTAATCCATGGATCCTTTCTCTGAGTTCATTCCAGCCCAGAGAAGGATTCCTTCTTTGTGTGATACCTGCAATACTAAATTTACTTAGGTTCAAAAGCATTAATAATAAAGTAAATGACTATCATATGTGTCTGGTTATAAATCTTTTCTTCCTCCCATGATGAAAGCTTGGCTACTCATTTTTACTCTGAAGTTCATAGTCATCTTCCTCTTGAACTAAATTCTGGGGAAAGATTGATAAGCCATTTCAATATGGCATCCTATGACAAATAAAGCTTTGGAAACTCAGACATTTAGCCCCTTCCAAACTCAGAAGACAGCTGCTACCCACACGGTCACTCAATAATCACAACATGTTCCCAAATCTTGCTTTGTGGCTGAATTTTTAAAGTACCTCTAGAGTTATGATTGGACAATCTGTTTCTGTTTTACTATAATTACTATTTAATTTGTACTCTACTAATCCAGAATTTTGCATAAACATCCCTCCTATGATTCCTGCTTAATAGAATATTGAAAATCATTTCCTCATTGAAAATGTTTTGAGCTATTAAGAATAAAATACTCTGTTTTCAGAGCAGTTTTTACATTTTCCAAACTAAGGGAGCTGAAACAGTAAAGATTCTTTTAGCTTGCCTTTCGTTTTCAGGACTAGCAGGTTCCTGTAATATAAAGGTCTTTGGGGTTTTTAGTGCAAGCCTATTGAGAACTGTAATTTATTTCACCTCATTTCACTTATAAATGATACTATTTTACATGTTCCATGTAAAAGGAAAAAATAATATTTCCTTAAAAATTATTCTATACATTCCTATAATTTAGCCTTGTGTGTGATGATGACCTTTTTCTATAAAAGAAAAATGTATGTAAATGCTGGTATAAGTTAATTATAAATAATGTTGTTGACATGTACAACCTAAGGCACACTTAGAAAATATATTCATATAGCTGGGCGCAGTGGCTCACGCCTATAATCCCAGCACTTTGGGAGGCCGAGACAGGTGAATCACAAGGTCAGGGGTTCCAGACCCGCCTGGCCAACATGGTGAAACCCCTTCTCTACTAAAAATACAAAAAATTAGCTGGGCGTGGTAGTGGGTGCCTGTAATCCCAGCTACTCAGGAGGCTGAGGCAGGAGAATGGCGTGAATCCAGGAGGTGGAGGTTGCAGTGAGCTGAGATTGTGCCCCTGCACTCCAGCCCAGACGACAGTGCAAGACTCCATCTCAAAAAAAAAAAAAAAAAAAAAAAAAAAAAAAAAAAAAAAAAAGAAAGAAAGAAAAGAAAATATATTCATATAACCCTGATTTTGGTAAAACACATTTCTACATATTCATTTCTGAGGCACAGGGTTTCTTATACAGTCACCTGTTTTGAGGTATTTAAAACACTTTTTAGTTTTGTGCTAGTTGCAAAAAATGACATTTTAACATAAACTATCAGTTTTACTTGCAGAGTTTGGTGTAAAAAATATGAAGATTTTATCTCCAAAATTAAGATACTTCTATATACCTTTCCACACATCTCAAATTTGTGAAGTTTAAGAGGATTTTAGAAGTGATCAGTATCAGTTTACAAAATTACTTGGAACATGTGTTAATCAGTCATCTTCCTTTGCCAAGCTGACTCTGAAATTCATGGAAGGTACCTACACACCAAACTTTAAGTGATTGCATATGCTAGCTTCTAAATATTTATGAGGATTCTTTCAATTTTAGCATTTTGGGTACTAGCAAACAGTCTATTCCCATTACCAAATTCCTAAGCACAACATTGTTTCATTATCAAAGAAAATAACATCTTTTGGGGGCTGTAAATACTCTGTGAGGACAAATGGATTTTCTAAAGGAGACTACTGACCATGTGTTAAACTATGACATTTCAATACACTTGTTTGATTGTTGGTCAAAAACATACTCAAAGGTAAACAACTTGAGCAAATAACAGGCAACTGAAGTTGACCATTTAAAGAGAGGGACAATGAGCATGAAAAATCAAGACGAATGCATTGCTTCAATTTCATAGACAACATGAATTAAACGCAAGCCACTGCCATTCTGCTTTAATTTAAATAAATCAAATGTTTTCACTGTCTCAGAAAACTAGTTTTTTCAATAACATTTATGACATATTTTTTCTTGGTTTGTGCACCTATTTGGAAAAGCATCACCGAGAGAGTTGTTGGTTATGAAAAAATACAATTCCCTTAGCCATTTACTGGGCTACATCAGTTAGTGGAAAACAGATTTCTCAAGATAAATTGTTATTGGTCATTAAAAACATATAATGCTTCTCCTTAGACAGACTAAATTTATCTGATATGTTTGTATTCCAGGATGAAATCAGAAAAGTGACTGACGACAGGGAAACAGGATAAGATCTATTTTCACACCAGATTTGTTATTCAAGTTGGCTTCAGAACTATTAATAAATATTTCCAAGAGCAGTTTTCATCAACTTAGATTAGACCAAGAATTATGACCACAGACCACAGACCCTCTGCCATCCCAGCTGGCCTCTCCCATCAAGTAGTGCAATGGGGCTATCAAATTTTTTATTTTATTTTATTATTTTTTTCTCTAGTTCTTCTAAAAAAAGGGGATACATGTACAGTACATGCATGTTTGTTACATAAGCCATTACATAGGTATACGTGTGCCATGGTGGTTTGCTGCACCTATTGACCCCTCCTCTAAATTTCTTCTCTTCAACCCCCACCCGCCAACAGGCTCTAGTGTGTGATGTTCCTCTCCCTGTGTCCATGTGTTCTCAATGTTCAACTCCCACTTATGAGTAAGAACATGCAGTGTTTGGTTTTCTGTTCCTGTGTTAGTTTGTTGAGGATGATGGCTTCATCCACGTCCCTACAAAGGACAGGATCTCATTCCTTTTTGTGGCTGCATAGTGTTCCACGGTGTATATGTACTACATTTTCTTTACCCAGTCTGTCATTGATGGACATTTGGGTTGGTTCCACGTCTTTACTATTGTAAATAGCACTGCAATAAACATAAATGTGTGTGTGTCTTTATAGTAGAATGATTTATATTCTTTTGGGTAGGGGCTATCAAATTTTTTATGAAGACTAGGTGGCCAGACAGCATATCTGCTCAGTTGTTCCTCCATTCCTACCCATTTTCCATACTCTCTCACACTCACTTTCACCCTCATCTTCACCAAAGGATGATAAAGCAAATGCCTACAATTGCAAGTGAGTGAGCAAGCAAGTCAAATGGAGAAAGACGAGCTATAGGAAGCTAAGCAGAATCATATGCTAAAACAGGGAGGTGCCTGCTTCACTTGGGATAAAGCCAGAAGCTTCCTTCCATCTCTTTGGTATCATTTCAGGCCTAGTTGAAAGTGAACGTGAACAGTAAAACGGGTGACCTTGAGCACAAGCTTATGGATAATGATAGTAAAAAAGGAATTGTGTTTCACAAAACCACAGGTTTCAGTCCCTTGAGGCTCTGAAAAAGTAAACAAGGAAGCTGACACATGACAGCATATCTTGAGAGCACACTCAAAGAATTTTTAGACACTTGTGATAAGAAGCTTTTTGGGGAATGTTCAGTTGTTTTTCCCTCCACACAGAAGCAGTGGGAGGCAGAGTTTAGATTTCTGAGCATTCCAGAACCTGGGGAGGGTCATAGCTGCTGCTGTTGCTAGAGAAGTCTGCGGAGTTAAGAGCAATAAAGGCAGTAAAAATAAAACCTAAAATAAGTATTTGGCCTTCTGTTCCTCAGCCTTCTCACTATGTGAGGCTCTTAGACTTCCTCCCTACTAAACAGTGGGCCAGACCTGCCTTCACTGTCATTTTCATCCTTGATTTATCTGTTTTCTTCAATGGAATTTTTGTTTGTTTTTGTTGTTTTTGTTTGTTTGTTTGTTTGTTTTTGAGACAGAGTGTCGCTCTGTCACCCAGGCTGGAGTGGCACGATCTCAGCTCACTGCAACCTCCGTCTCCCTGATTCAAGCACGTCTCCTGCCTCAGCCTCCTGAGTAGCTGGGACTACAGGCGTGCACCACCACGCCCAGCTAATTTTTTGTATTTTTAGTAAAGACGAGGTTTCACTATGTTGGCCAGGATGGTCTTGATCTCCTGACCTCGTGATCTGCCCGCCTCAGCCTCCCAAAGTGCTGGGATTACAGGTGTGAGCCAGCACACCCGGCCTCAATTGAATTTTTAATGAACCCCTCAGAGATAGTATCTTTGTATCTGAATAATTCCTAGGCGAGGTTTAGATATATCGAGTATGGTCAACTTCATTAGAACACATGAAAGTGGTGACTATTTTCTTCTCCCTCAGTTAGTTCATATCATCCTGTTTCTCTAGTGATAAAATATGAAAGATTCCAAAAGTTGTAAAAGGAGAGAAAACAGGAATATAGAAGCAGGGAGTGCGTAGGGAAGATGAGAGTGGCAGGGAACTAAATCTTGAGAAAGCACAGAACTCAACAGACATAGACCGAAAACCTTGTTTGTTATTAAATCTTACATTAGATTGAACAAGTGAAACTCCATCCCTGAGAAAGCTCACCTGTGAACTGGGCAATTTCAGTGCAGTTTTTTTTTTTCTTAGAGTTATTAATAAGATGAATTGAGATAATGCCAATGCCTTTTGGAAATAAGAACCAAACAAATGCAAGGTGGCCTGGAAAATTGTCTCCAAAAAAAGGCAGTGAGACCCCCATGAAACATTTTTAACTATATTTTTCAAAATTGCTTTTGTTTTCAAAGATTTACAACTTCAGGGAGACAAAGGAAACTCCAGCTCATCTCCCACATCATTGATTGAGAGGACCATTTTCTGACTGTCTGCACACGTAAGTACCTTGCTTTCACTAGTTAGAAGCTCTTGCACTCCAGTCCTTACCTCCTGATGCACTTTGTTCCTTATATTCTGTCTGTGATTAATGTAGGTAACTTCCAGCTACACCTGTCACATTTTAATCTAAGCTAAAGGGAGAACTATAGCCTAAAGGCACTGTAGGTAATTTCATGAACTTGTTTCTGAAAGATAGAGAATGACTGAGTAATGGAAAAATTGTGAGATCCTTCTGTTTCAACTCAGTGCATTACCAAATTGAGTGCTGGAGGAAGATCCCAAGGAAAGGAGAAAGAAGGACCAATTAGGGAGAAATCATAAATACTTGAATAGTTAGATAAGCTTCCCATTAATTAGAGAAAAAAATTAGTTATGAAGAGATAAAGGAAAATTATGAAGGAGAGCAGAGAAAAAGCACCATGCGAGGAAGCTTGTAATTAAAAACAGAATGAATGAAAACAGATCACAATTGGCTAAGTGGATGAAAAGAGAGGAATGGAAAAATAACATAGTTTTAACAAATGACAATGATAGAGGTAAAGACTCCTCCAACAAAAAGCAAGGATTAAAAAAAAAGAGATAATCTTCAAAGCAAAAAGAGACCCAAAAGGCTACCTGAAACTGAATGACAGAAACAAGAAAGAAAAAACCTGAAAGGGGGAAAAAAGACAAAACATACAGGAGAAGTAAGTAGACCCAGAAACACACATAAGAAAACATTATAAAACAGACCTATCTTATTCAAACATTAATGAAAGAATGAAGCTCTGAGAGTAATAAAATATTAATTATTATTCCACTACCTGCTAGTCTGTCTCTGCTGGCAGCTTTAGCATATCTACTTGTTTGAGTGACAACCTCCTGTCTTTGCTATTTCTCGCACTTTTTAAAGTCCCTCTCCCCAGGGGAGAACCTATTTTACTCTTATAGAACCTGTATAAATAATGGGCCAAGAAATCTTGTGTTTTGAAGATTGACTGAGAAAAAAAATTTCCAAAATGTTCTCCAAGTTGAAAAAGATGTAGAAGCCTTAGACCAAATAGTAGGTCAGTACCCAGAATATTCCCAAATAGATTTGTATCTGTAATTGGAAATAATGGCAATTTCTAGGGTTATTTGAGGACAAAATGAGATTATACACTTAGAGCATGTCTGGCATCTAGTACACACACAATAAATATTAGCTGTTATTGTAAGCATGGACACTCATTTTTATCAGATGGTGGGCCAAACCCTGTTGGACTGTGACATACTTATTGCTTCTTCCTGGGTCTCTCAACCCAAGTGAGAAGTCAGCAAAGAAATCATTCGGGAAACCCTCTGTTTTTGTTTGTTTGTTTGTTTGTTTTTAATACCATAATTAGATTAACTAATGCTTGTTCCATTATTTCCTATGAACAATCCAAGTTTTTTCTTTCAGGAAGCTGTGCCCTGTGGTCAGGGCCAGACATGTTTCTGTGCTTTTCCTCTCCACCTGCTTCTCCCCTGTGATGCAAAGGCAAAGGGGCTGTGGGTGTGGCTGAGTGCTCAGGAGGGCACCGCCCAGTGAGGTCAGTGAGTGTCAGTGACTCACGTCCGCCTAGAATTGCCCCCACCAGGGCCTTGCTGAGTCTTCTCCCTGCTGCTGGGAATTTTGTCCCACCTTTATGTAGATGTGCGTTACTGAGTTTATCTGCATAGGAAAGGATGTGAGCTCTGAGTTCCCGGACTCTTCCTCCTCTCAGGTTCCTTAGAATGATTTAGGAGTAGGATTCTGAGCATCTTGGGGAGCTCTCCTGGGGGGTCTAATCGCCCATGTCTCAGGGACATGGGAAGGCCTAACAATCAAAGTGCACTTGGTGCTAGACATAGAAGTGGGAAGAAAGTGGAGAACAAATGAACAGGAGGCTGGCTATCTGGATATCTGGATGAGGGGCTCGAAGGACCATAGAGACCACCCAACCCATGGGATAGACAAAGAACGGGCAGTGTCCAGAAGCGGAACTGGAAAGTCCCCTATACCCACATGGCCCACCCGTGCTAGATTTTCAATCCCTGGATTCAACACTGCCACTGTCAAATATGTTATTTCTGGGAGATTCTCTGACCTCACTTATGCTTAGTTTCTTCATATATATAGTGGGAATTTTATAACTCATTTGTCAGTCTTTTCCTGGAATAAAAACAAATGAGATACAGAAATGCTTTGCAAGCAGATGAACTAAATAAACACATCCAGAGAACTGGCAAACTGTACTGCTCCTTCCTACCCACTTCTTTGCTAAGTTTTGGAAGAGGATTTGTGGACAAACATCCTATTTTACATCTCCCATCTGGGGACAATATATCAAATGACTTACAACATTTTAATCATGTAACACAGGTCTACTGTTATGAGTATTTAAAGTGTTGAAGATTTAAAAAGAAATGAAAATGACAATGCCTTCATTTAAAAGTGGAATGTTCTCTGAAAAAGTCAGAAAGAACTCCAAACTCAATTATTATTATTGAATCATATTTATTAAACAGTGTATGCTGTGTCCTCAAGAAAGAGACTACACACAGAAACAGATTAAGAAACACAAAACTCCAAACCCCAGAACGAACACTATGGTTGAAAATGCCCAGAGCACATGTGACTTTTCAGGAACCTCTGATGACCCTGAAGCCACAGACAGGGAACCCTGGCTCTAGACTGTTAGCAACTCCAGACAGGAACAATGCTTTATTTGTTATTGTACCCCAAATCCCAGCACAGTGCCAGCATCTAAGAGATGTCATTCTGAATTGGCAGGGCTAGACTCATTGTTATTTATGCTCTTTTAACACAAGCACAGGTATGAAGGACAGCTTTGGACCAGGGACTCAGAGGGAGGATAACAATAGCTGAAGAGTTTGAAAAGCAAGACAAGAGCACAGGTATCCAAACTGCTGAGAAGTGACTCCACTTCTCAGCTAGCTATGAAGGTGTGGTGGACAGGGACAGTCCTAACAGCCAGCTAAGAATTCAGGAGAACACCTGAGGACAAGATCTTGATACAGTTATTGGAACCACGGTACAAGATGAGGTGTGACTAAGGGCAAGCCAGACCAGAGGCTAGTTACAGAAAATGGGTGCAAATCATAGAGAATGGGTATTCCTAGCCTCCTAGGGTAGGGTAATGAAGGGTCTAGGAGTCAGGGAAATAATTGCAGGAGGTTCTATCTTTGACTGTGCCTGGGACTGGAAGAGATCACTCAGCTTCTCTGAGGTTGTTCCATGGAGCTTGCAAGTTTTCAAAGCACTCTTAGGCCCACTTTTAGAGGTTCATAAATACAAGACAGCTTCTTAGTTTTGATTGCTTCTACCTTATGCCAAGCATATGGTACTGAAAAAATTAAACAGTAGACATTTTTTACAATAATCAGTTGTAAAAATAATCGATTGGTGATATTAAAATGTTGTTTACCCGTATTCATCCTTCCACATAGTGTAGTCTAACAGACGTCATTTAACCTCAACACTTAATCATCTGCTCCTAAAACTCTGCTGCTCTTGTGGGGTATTATACTCCATTATTCTAAGACTAGGGAGTACTTGGAAGAGAAGATCCAGAAGAGTGGCATCATAGTTGGGTAGGCTGGGCTACATCTCATGAAGATGCATTTATAAGAACAAAACTCATTTGAAGGGAAAATATAAATGATACCTACATTAGCTGATAAATAGAAGCTAATTAAGAGATTTTCTGTAAATTTTAAGTTTACAGACTCTTAGAATCAGAAGGGATCTTGGAAATTACCACATTGCCAATTACTAATTTTCAATTGAAGAACCAGGTTTTAAGGTTGAGTGGGTTGCTGAAGGCCAGGAAGTTAGAGGAAAGGAATAGGATCTGTTTCCTCTCATCCCAATCAATGCTCCTTCCGGGGACCTCCCTGGCTGGAGGAAATGGGGTGGGGATAAGAACCAGGAGGAGAGATGTGTAGATTACTCCTTTCTTCTCAATGTCTGCCATACAGAAGTCATTTTGTCCAGTGGGGGAATTGTAAGGAAAAAACCATATTTTAAAATTCCCTAACAAATATGACATCACAAGTCAGGTTTCTTCTCTAGAATTTCTAGTTGTTTCTAATGACAACCTTATTTAATAACTCCCATAGCATTATTTTTACTTGTTTTCTAAGAAAAATAAAGGTTTTGAAAGTAATATTTTTGAGTAGGAAAAAACTAGGAGATCAAAAACTGAGAAAAATATGAACAAAATTATTTTAAAATTTGTGTTTCTTTTTAAATTGTATTACTTTTGGTAGAATGAACCCATTTTAAGCAGTATTATAATAATGAAGTTTACATTGTGGCAAAATTAGCTTTTGATTTATTACAAACAATATTTCTGATAATATTTTTTGAGGAATTTGTTACCCCATTAAAATTTTCCTTACATCTCTACTTGAATGTCTGTAGTTTCTGGTTAAGACTGATTAAATCTAAGGAAATGTTCTTCTTAGATGAAAGAAGGGGTTCAATGCATCATGCTTCCTCTGTAAATGCTTTTGCTAATGGAGTGCTCATGTTCAACCAGATGTGGGAAAATTCTATCGACAGGCCCTTGAATAACTAATTGACAATTACCATGGGAAGTCTTTTGATAGAAGGCCACTTGACTTTTATTAAATGTCAAACTTCCTTAGACCACAGATATCACATGTTTCTAACATGACTTGAATCCTTTGAGAGAAAGAAATCAGTCATGTCTGATGCCAGGGTTAATATAGATTTGGGGCTGTCTTTATTCTTTAAGGAGGATGACAGCTAACATTTATGGAGTACTTATCATGTGCAAGTCTCTGTTCTAAGTATTTTATATGGATTAACAACATTATTATTGTCCCAATCTTACTGTTGAGGGAAATAAGGCACAACAGGTTAAGAACTTGGCTAAGATACACAGCTCATAAGGAAGTCTAGGCCCAGAGACTGTGCCCTTTTATGTTATACTGCCTTCTTTTTTTTTTTTTTTAGGCTATTAAATTACTATAATTGTATTTTTTAGTGGAGAAAGACAGCTAGGTATAATTTATTATAGGTGGTGTATTCCCTGAATTCTGGATCTGTTTGCTTCCTATGGTTTTTTTTTTATTATTATACTTTAAGTTTTAGGGTACATGTGCACAATGTGCAGGTTAGTTACATATGTATACATGTGCCATGTTGGTGTGCTGCACCCATTAACTCGTCATTTAACATTAGGTATATCTCCTAATGCTATCCCTCCCCCGTCCCCCCACCCAACAACAGGCCCCAGTGTGTGATGTTCCTCTTCCTGTGTCCACGTGTTCTCATTGTTCAATTTCCACCTATGAGTGAGAACATGCAGTGTTTGGTTTTTAGTCCTTGCGATAGTTTGCTGAGAATGATAGTTTCCAGCTTCATCCATGTCCCTACAAAGGACATGAACTCATCATTTTTTGTGGCTGCATAGTATTCCATGGTGTATATGTGCCACATTTTCTTAATCCAGTCTATCATTGTTGGACATTTGGGTTGGTTCCAAGTCTTTGCTATTGTGAATAGTGCCGCAATAAACATACGTGTGCATGTGTCTTTATAGCAGCATGATTTATAATCCTTTGGGTATATACCCAGTAGTGGGATGGCTGGGTCAAATGGTATTTCTAGTTCTAGATCCCTGAGGAATTGCCACACTGACTTCCACAATGGTTGAACTAGTTTACAGTCCCACCAACAGTGTAAAAGTGTTCCTATTTCTCCACATCCTCTCCAGCACCTGTTGTTTCCTGACTTTTTAATGATCGCCATTCTAACTGGTGATACTGCCTTCTATGAGTAAAAATTTCTATACGTTGTTATCATTGTCCCTAACAGACCATGATTTTAGATTATTCACTAGGGTTCTACTAAATAAAGAAAATATGGATCCTTAAATTAACTCATTATCTCTAATTGTCCCCTCTACATGAGCAGTGATAGCAATGATGGCTATTATTATTATTTTGGACTTTTAAAATAAGTTTTTATTTCCAGTGGAAATAGGACCTTGTCACCATTATTAATCTAGCGTTGCACTGCACGGTACAGTAGGCACTAGTTTCCTGTGGCTATTTAAAATGAAATTAATTACAATTAAGTACTGTCATACTCTGTTTTCTGTTGCTTCTAAAAGAATAACTGAAACTGGGTAATTTATAGAGAAAAATAATTTATTCCTTATGTTATATAGGCTGGTAAGTCCAAGGTCAAGGGGCTACATCTGGTGAGGGCCTTCTGGCTAGTGAGGACTCTCTGCAGAGTCCCAAGGCAGTTCAGGGCATCACATGGTTAGGAGCTAAGCTTGCTAGCTTGGGTCTGTCTTCCTCTTGTTCTAAAGCCACAAATCCCACTCCCATGCACCCACTAATCCATTAACATATTAATCCATTAACATATTAATCCATTAATTCATGAATGAATTAATCTATTCATGAGAGCAGAGCCCCCATGACCCACTCACCTCTTAAAGGCCCTGCCTGTCAATTCTGCCACATTGGAGATTAACTTTCAACATGAGTTTTGAAGGGGACAAACCTTCAAACCATAGCAAGTACAATTTAAAAAGTAGTTCTCAGTCATACTAGCTATGTTTTTAGTCCTTAATAGTCACAGGTGGATAGTGCTACCATAGATATAAAAAACTTCTATCATAATAGAGAGTTCTATTGAACAGCAATGTGTTATAGAATGCTCAGCTTCTTTATATGTAACTAAACAAATCAATTACTAGCTGCAGAATGCAGCCAGGAGACAGAACTTCACCTATTTGGGGGAAAAAAAAAACAACCTCATAAATTTATCTTTAAACTTGTGAGGTTGGAACTAATTAAAGTTTCCTATTTGACCTTGAACCAAGTCAACATAAAGTGAGAAAGTTACAAGTGAGAGGAGACAGATTGGCTGGTGATTTGATGAATCAGTAAATTATTTATGTAAAGAAGGGAGGATCTTTTCCATGGAGCTAAAGGGAGTGTGTTAAAAGGACTCTTGGCTCCCCAAAACTAGAATAACTCACTTTTGATGTGTAGTAACAGGGATATATATACCATTTAGAATGTCAAAATGAGCAGAATATTTTGCCATAGGAACATGTTTTGAAGATTCTGAGAAAGAAATGGGATTTTAGGGTCTTTTCTAGTCATGTGAAAGGGACTTGTTTTAGTCAGCTTTCTCCAGAGAGAGAAACTATAGAATATAGACAGTAATACATAAAAAGGGATTTGTTAGAGGAATTGGCTCCCTTGATTATGGAAGCTGGGAAGTCTCAAGATAGGCTGTCTGCAAGCTGGAGAACCAGGAAAGCAGATAGCATGGCTTGGCCCATGTCTAAAGGCCTCAGGACCAAGGAAGCCAATGGTGTAACCCTCACTCAGAAGCTGAAGGTCTAACAGCATGAGGGTGGGGAGGTGGGTGTCACATAAGTCCTGGAGTCCGAAGGCCAGAGAACCTGGTGTTTTGATACCCAAGGGCAGGAAAAGAAGAATGTCTTGGCACTGGCACAGAGATTAAATTTGCCCTTTCTTCATCTTTTTGTTCCATTCAGGCCTCCATCCAATTGGATGGCACCTGTCCACATTGAGGGCAGATCTTCCCACTCAGTCCACTGGCTCATATACCAATGTCCTCTGGAAACACCCTCATAGACACACCTGGAACAGCCCCATCATTCATCGTTCTAATCAAAAGCAACACAGGAAGGGGAACATCACACACCACACACCGGGGCCTGTGGTGGGGTGGGGGGAGGGGGGAGGGATAGCATTAGGAGATATACCTAATATTAAATGACGAGTTAATGGGTGCAGCACACCAACATGGCACATGTATACATATGTAACTAACCTGCACATTGTGCACATGTACCCTAAAACTTAAAGTATAATAATAAATAAATAAATAAATAAATATGTGGTAAAAAATCCCCCCCCCCAAAAAAAAGTGAATCCACCTGGGTTTTCCTTTCAGCAGGAGAGAGACAGGCTCAGTACCTACTGCTGCACTGAGAATAATTGATGCTTTACCAGCTATCTGGGTATCCCTCAATCTAGTCAAGTTGACCCCCAAAATTAACCATCACAGTACAAAAGGACTGACTTGCTTGGGATTATGCAGGTCAGACTGGCTTTTAGATTTCTGGGTTGGGACAAAAGATACCAGGATCTGTGGTCATGATTCACTCTGGTGAGGGAAAAATGTTGTGGGTGAGGTATTATGTTTTGTGCAAGAGATAATTTTGACTCCAGGTCTGTTTGTCCACCAAAAGCCTGTCTTCCCACTATGGCACATGTCATTGGTACATATCCCACAAGTTTAGCAAATTTAATTGGGGAAGTCAGAAAAGATGTTGCCTGGAAGAATGGCCTCAGGAAGAGGAAAGAGTGGGAGCCACAGGCTGATTGGATGTAACAGGAGAGCCGCTCTAGGGAAGAAGATTGGCCAAGATGGAGGCAGTGGGATGGGGAGGAGGAGACACAACACATTTAATAGCTCTCCTTTGGCCACAGTAGCCTCGAAGAAATGGAAATTAGTACTTAAATTATGTAGGAAGGTAGACTATAGTACTGAGCACAAGAGAGAATTTTCCCTACTATTGCTGTCCAAAGGTGTTATCCTGTGAAGAAGCTGAGACTGACTGCATCAACAATAACTAGCCTTCGTTATGGAGGTTTCCTATGGTCCTAAACTTGACTTCAAGGTTAAGTTCTGTTAGGCACTAGCACTCCAGAAGGGTCAACCTCCTCTGAATCCTGATGCATTCATTCATGTCTCAATTAAGGGAAATGACATCATTTTAGAGAATTGGCACTTTCAAGGGGGTCAGTAAGTAAACTTACAGTATTAAATGGACTCGTCAAATGGCAAACAACACACTTTCCAGTGCACAGAAATGAGCAGTGTTTTCCTCTGAGACTCCTCTTTTCCTCCTCCGCCATAGGTAACAATCCTAGACCAGTATTATTCAATGTTCCTCTAGGTACCCTCTTTATTTTCCTGAGAAGGTAGAACATTCTTCTGTTTAGCATTTGTTTTCCTGTGTTTTCATCTAAAAAACCATCTGCTGTATTCTCAGAAAAGGGTTTCTCAGGAGGCGAGGAGTTAGGACTGATGTAGAGGTGATGTGAAGTGGAGGTGGAAAAGAAAATGAATCAGTAGAGCTGCTTGTGAAAGCTGACACAAAGTCTGTATTAAGACTTTTGGCTCAAGTTTTTGTATATTTTTGGGTGCATTCTAGGTTTACAGAAATAATTTTTAAAAGCAAAAATAAAAATAATAATTGAGAGCTAGGCTGGGCACAGTGGCTCACACCTGTAATCCCAGTGCTTTGGGAGGCTGAAGCAGGCAGATCTCCTGAGGTCTGGAGATAGAGACCAGCCTGACCAACATGGAGAAACCCTGTCTCTACTAAAAATACAAAATTAGCTGGATGTGGTGATGCATGCCTGTAATCCTAGCTACTCAAGAGGCTGAGGCAGGAGAGTTGCTTGAACCTGGGAGGTGGAGGTTGTGGTGAGCCAAGACTGTGCCATTTCACTGCAGCCTGGGCAAGAGCGAAACTCCATCTCAAAATACTACTACTACTACTACTACTACTACTACTACTACTAATAATAATAATAATAATAATAATTGAGAGCTAAAACATATTTCACCTGTAGGGCACTATCTCAATCTATTCTGGGACTGAGATCATTTGGGGCTGCTGAGAGAAAAGCCGACATAAAATGAATTTTTGTGGCCTTGTTTTTAATGTGTAAGGTCATAAAAATGAGTATCACCACCTCAGATTGGAGCAGATATGCCAAGAGTCAGCTTCTTTGTGCCTTTTATCAAAGCCACGCCTGCACTATGAATCATGGTCAGCTTGTGGGTCCACCAATAATATCGGTATTGTGAATAGCTTCGGGTTAATATGTCCAGACATATTTTACTGATTGAAGTGGAGATCTTTGGCTCTACAAACCCATTGGTGCTGGCAGGCATTTGTTGCACACGGAACCAAGGGTCTCTGCACACAGATTAGCATATTCCAATCGGTGGAAAGGATGCTGGGGATGGGCTCCTCCTCTTCCCAGTCCCACATAGTCATCAGTGTGTGATTGTGCTTTTGGAATGACCATGAGTATACACCAGGAACCCACTTGTTGCCAGACACTTCTTGTGGGCTTGCAATAGTTTCACTCTCCTGAGAAAACTGGGGCTTGCTTGGCCATAGTGAATACCATACCCTTTTCTTCTGCCTGTCTCTCCTTGAAGGAAGCTTTATGCTCAAAGAGACAGTAACTACTAAACATCTCTTTTCCTTTAAAGGAACGGGACGTGGAGTTACAAAAATATGACTCTAAATCTGTGTTTGTCTTTTCTCTACTTCCAGGATTGTTAGGTTACCATTGTGAAACAGTTTTCAGCATACAAAGTGCTGTCATGTACATTTTTCTTTTTTTTTTTTTGAGACAGAGTCTCGCTCTGTCACCCAGGGTGGAGTGCAGTCGCGTGATCTCCACTCACTGCAAGCTCCGCCTCCTGAGTTCACGTCATTCTCTCTGCCCCAGCGTCCAGAGTGGCTGGGACTACAGGTGCCCGCCACTACGCCCGGCTAATTTTTTGTATTTTTAGTGTAGATGGGGTTTCACTGTGTTAGCCAGGATGGTCTCGATCTCCTGACCTCATAATCCACCCGCCTCGGCCTCCCAAGGTGCTAAATTATTTATTTTATTCTGGCAGGAAGATGTCAGTCATAATTGTGCTAGGATGCAACATCTGTATATGTAAAGATATGTCAAGGACCTAGACACTTAAATTGGCCCATTTATTAATAGAGGCAAGGCAGTTAAGGGAGAAATATCACATTGGCAGCATTTAGCTAGAAGGACAAATTCTCAGTCATCATTAAATGCCCAGATGATACAAAGACTCAGCTTTTCCCTGGGAGAACTCTGTCAGCTAAGTAATAGGATAAACACCCTGCTTATCTATACCAAACAAATCTCCCAAACTTATACTTCTTTGGAGACATACCTCCTCTTCTTATTCATTTTTACCTAGGCAAGTAAAAATGTAGACATGATTAAGAAATCAAGGACTCAGCTTCCAACAAATGCAATTAAGGCCACAAACAAAACTACACTTAATTATGAAGTTGAATGGTGACATGATCATTCTCTGTGTGCTTTCTATGGGTCACTTGCCAATCAGAAAATGCCACATCTCATTCATCACAGAAACAAGGGGCTCTTTTGCTCAAAGTTAAAATGTGTATTTTAAAAACCCCAACAGTTCTCAGGTTCTGTGGTTCACCCCTAGTAATGTTGTAGAGTTACATGATTGCATTCACTACTGACATTCTTTGTAATGTGAAAGAAAAGAAAACTCATTGGCAGAGGATGCTGATTAAAGCATATGCCTAAAAAATTTTCCACAGCACTTAAATGCTTAAAGATTCATTGCCACAGTTTGCATAGGAAAAACACTCTTTTAGAAGACAAGTTAGTTTTCCTAAGTAAGCAGTATGAATATGAATTTAGAAGCAGCCAAGTTTTAAAGTAAAATCTTTTTATTTGATATTGATACTTGTAATCATTATTTTTTATTTGAAAAATACTACCAACTACTCAGCTCTGTGAAAGCTTACTATGTTGCCAGATTTGCTTCAGATCTTTAAAAGTAATAAAATATTACAACCACATTTGAAGACCACATGCTCCTGTCTTCCCAGTGGTGAGCACCATTGTGTACTTGTATCACATTGAACGTGTATATGTTTATTGACTATACAAATTTCCTTTTCTGTATTTTTTCTTTGTTCATTTATCTATTAAGCTAGCACTTTCTTACTAATTTGTTATTAGGTTGTTGCAAAAGTAATCGCTGTTTTTGCTGGTACTTTCAATGGCAAAAACTGTGATTACTTTTGCACCAACCTAATAAAGGTTATGGATATTAAGGCTTTTTTTCATGACGTATATTGTAAATGCCTTCTTCTAGGTTGTGGATTCTTTTATAACTTTGTATAGCATGATTGTTTCAACACTACTTCTTAATTTTAAAGTAATTTATGAATCTTTTCTTGTGTTTTTGTATTTTGTTTAACAAAGTCTTTCCTACTCTAAGACTATAAAGATACTCTCCTATATTTTAATCTCAAAGTTTAAAATTTAATTTTAATTTCATATGTGATGAAGAGATCCAATTTCATTTTCTTTTTATAAAAATAATAATTCAGCACCATTTATTAAATTATACACTCTCTCTTTATTTACTAAGCTATCTCCATATCAAATTTCCACACAGGTGTGTATTTCTAGGCTACTCTAATCTATTCATCTCTTTCTATCTCATAGGATCCTCCTATCCTTTCTTTTTTCTTCAAAGTTGTCTTCATTGTTCTTTTACCTTTATTCTTCTGTATTAACTTTTAAATAGTATTGTCAAATTCCACAAAAATCCAGATGGCCCTTTGATTAAATTGCATTGAGTTTATAAATGAATTCATAGAGAATTATCACATTTAAATTATTGAGTATTACTTTCCACTATATATCATCATTTAATTAGGTATTTTATTTACTAAAATAATAATTTAAAATTTTTTTCCAAAAGATCTTCAAAATGTTGTTAGATTTATTCTTAGACACCTTATAGTCCTTGTTATTGTGAATGAGATTATGAGATTTTCTTCTATTACATTTTCCATTTGATTGTATATAGAGGTGTTAAAGATATTTGATATTGATCTTGTATTCACAAATGTTATGAGTTATCTGTTAGTTCTAATAGTTTACATATAGAATAGATGTCTAGATAGTGATATTGTCTATAAATATGGACTGTTGAGATTTTTTTTCCCCAAATTTCCCTCCTTCCCTCCCTCCTCCCACCCTTTCTTTCCTTCCTTCCTTCCTTCCTTTCTTCCTTCCTTCCTTCCTGACTGCCTGCCTACCTTCCTTTTTTTTTTTCTACTATTATATACAGCTATTGGTACACTTTTAAATAGTAATAGAAGTGATCCTTAAGTCATGGGCAGATTGACTTAGTTCTTATTCATGAGATCAAGTGTCTATCCAGGTTCTCAAGTTCCCAGGTGGTCAGCAACTTATCTTGTTCTATCCTTTTTGGAGGAGGGAGCTCAGCAGCCCTAACCTGCTTCTGGTTTTAAGTGCTTAGCTTAGCTATGTTCCCCATCTTGCAAAGAGCATTTTAAGCACTTTCCTTCATAAATGTAAAATGTCCATGTCTAGCAATGCCTACTTCCTGCAGTAGACCGGGCCCAAACTTCAGCCTTGCACACGGCTCATTTCTTGTTCAATATCTTGGGAGATTTTTCTCTAGAGTACATACCAAGAAATGAAATTATCCCACTTTCTAAGATATCTTCAACTTTACTAGATATTGCCATGGAGATGATTTTCTTGTGTTTTAATTTGCCTATGCCATTTTTACTTTTATTTGTGCTTTAAGCATTTTATCTCTTGTTGCTATTTTTCTGCAGTGAAAACTGAAGCAATATATGAACTTTTGGAGCCATTTTGGCCAGAAAAGTCATCAGTTCTATTTTAAACGTGACTTTCTTTGTGTGTAAGAAAAGGTGGGAATCAGAACAATTATATTTATGTGTCTGCAGAATAATCCTTCAATTATGAATTCACTATGACTATAGATTCAAACACAAGGGAAATATCTGCCCAGTGGTCATATGGCTTATTTATCATTTGTTGAACATGATCTGTGCATACCAAAGAATTGTTAAAACAGGGTCTGACATACAATGGATATTTGTCCAAAGCTCATGTTGAAAGGTGATCCCTAATGTTGGAGGTGGGGCCCAGTGGGTGCTGTTTGGTCATGGGGGTGGATCCCTCATGAATGGGTTGGTGCCGTCCCTGTGAGTTCTTGCTCTGTTAGTACACACAGAGCTGGTTGTTTAAAAAAGCATGGCACCTCCTCCCCGTTTCTCTTGATCCTTCTTTCACCATGTGACATGCCACTTCCCTTCCCTTTCCACCATGATTAGATACTTCTTGAAGTCCTCACCAGAAGCAGATGCTGGCACCACACTTTTTGTACAGCCTGCAGAACCATGAGCCAAATAAACCTATTTTCTTTATAAATTGCCCCTTCTCAAGTGTTCTTTATATCAGCACAAAATGGAATAACTTAGGGCCACTATAAGTTTATTGTTTTAAAAATTAGACCTTCCTAAGGTGCTTTCAAGTGTGTAAAAGACACACTTTAAGACAATGTAGTGAAGGGGTTAAGAGAAGCGCTTCCAGTCACACCACTGAGTTGGAGTCCAGGTTCCACCAATTACTAGCCATGGTTTCCTTATTAATAAAATGGGACCCTATTAGTACCTACCCTGAAGGGTTATTTTGAAGATTAAACAAAATATACTACACTTAAAACATTTAGCACCAGATTTGGCACATAACAAACACTCAATAAAATTTAGCTATTATTTATTTAAGTTCACAAAGGTTAATATATTATCTTTTATGTGATACATAATCTGACAATAATCTGAAGCTTTTATTTTCATTACTTTCAATTTGTCCATTTCATAAAATTAACCACATATGCTTCCTGTAATTAACATTTAGGATAGGGGTTTTCCATAATTTTTAGATAAAAATAGAAGCTATACTTTTAAATAAATTAAATCAGAAAAAGTTGAACTTCATAATCAAAGTCTATTTGCTTGTGTCTCATTGCTGAAGATTACTTTAATATTCTAACAATAGGCAAATTATTTCCATTATATTAGCTGAAGAGAAAAATGAATGACAGACTAAAAATGATAGATAAGGCAATGAGAAATAAAAATTAAAAGCCAAGTTTAGAGATGACCTGCAGATTCAATTACTAACATTATGAGGCTTTACTCTTATGCTCTGCTCTGTGCAATAGCACTTAAAACTGGTGAATTCATGGTTTAGCCAGGTATACTTACAAATCTGTGTTATAAGTGAACACGCAAGATAAAAATAGTATCGAATTGATGGTGTTATAGTGACAGAAGTATGTTCCTTTGAGGAACTGGCCTTTCTCCACCAAGTGCTTGCCAATCACATGACCCAACCTTTCACATCACAAGATTGACATGAGGCCAGAGAACCCATCCTCCTGAATATTGTAATTGATTTAGAGTTTGTTTTTGCCATACAAAATATTTTTTAGTCAAATTTGTCACCAATTTCTGTTATTGCTTCTGGATTTTGAGTTTATTAGAAAATATTGGCTGGGTGCGGTGGCTCACGCCTGTAATCCCAGCACTTTGGAAGCCGAGGCAGTTGGAGCACCTGAGGTCGGGAGTTCAAGACCAGCCTGACCAACATGGAGAAACCCCATATCTACTAAAAATACAAAATTAGCCAGGCGTGGTGGCACATGCTGTAATCCCAGCCATTGCACTCTAGCCTGGGCAACAAGAGTGAAACTCTGTCTCAAAAAAAAAAAAAGAAAATATTTTCCTATTCCCAGTTTATTAAATTATGCACTTGGGTTTACTTGTAGTATTTACTTATATTTATTTGTATAGTTTATCCTGGTGTGTGGTATGAATCAGTTTGATCTTTTTTCATAAAACTCTCCAGTTACATCAACCACACTGATTTAAAAATTCCTCTTTTCTTAAATGTATGGCCTTTATCATGTGTTATATTTCCATATGCACTCAGTTCTTTGAAGATAATATGTCATTTCTCTCTGAATGCTTTTAAGATATTTTTATTTTGTTTTACAGCAATTTTGCTGTGATGTGCTTGGTTATGGTTTTCTTTTTATTTATCATGTCTGTGGTGTGTAGCACTTACAAAATTGTGATTAAATGTCAGTTTTGAAAGATTCTCAGCTGCTATCTTATCAAATATTTCTGCTGGCCCATTATCTCCATTCTCTTTTTGAGATTCCAATTACACATAGAATCTGTGTGTAATAAATTAAGGTTTATGTTAGATCTTTTTATTTTGTTCCACTCATCCCTTATTTTCTTTACAGTATTTTCCAAACATCTCTCTGTGTTTCAGTCTGTATATTTTCATTAGATATATTTTCTAATTTACTAATCCTCTCTTTATCTGTGTCTAATCTAATGCAAACATTGAGTTCTTAATTTTCAGTTACTGTATCTTAACTCATTTATTAATATATAATTCATATATAATATAAATCATACATCATATAATAATTCACCTATTTAAAGTGTACAATCAATAGATTTTAGTAAATTCACAGAGTCATATAACCACCACTACAATTAATTTTATAACATTTTTATTATCAAAAAAGAAAACCCATACCCATTAGCAGTCATTCACCGTCTTCTCCCAACTCTCCAACCTCTGAGCCCCACTAATCTGCTTTCTATGTCTCTATATATTTGCTTTTTCTGGAAATTACACATAAACAATCATAAAATACGTGATCTTTTGTGACTGGATTTTTTCACTTTGCATAATTTTTCTCAAGTTCATCTGTCTTACAGCATGTGTCAGTACTTTATTTTTGCTGAATAATACTCAATTTTATCGATATACCACATTTGGTTTATATATTCATCAGTTAATTGACATTTGGGTTGTTTCCACTTTTTGGCTTTTATAAATAATATTGCTATAAACATTCCCGGACAAATGTTCATATGAACATAACTTTTATTTCTATTGGATATACACCTAGGAATGGAATTGCAGAGTATTATGATTTGACTTTTTGAGAACCTCCTGGACAGTTTCCGTACAGACTGTACCGTTTTACATTCCCATCAGCAGTATATGAGAGTTCCAATTTCTCCATATCATCACTAATTCTCACGTGTTATTATCTTTCTTTTTATTATAGCTATCTTAGTAGGTGTGAAGTGGCAGTTGTATTTTATAGTTTGGAATTTCTTTTTCATTAAAAGAATAGTTTTCAGTTCTCTCCTGATATTCTCTATTATGGCATCTAATTTCTTGAACAGCTATTTGAAAGTCCACGTGGGATAATGCAATACATGAACTTCCTGTTGCCTGTTTCTATTATGTATTTATGTATATTATGTGTATATATATATATATATATATATATATATATATATATATATATATTAGCTCTGGTCATGTGGGCTTTTCCTCAGTATCTCTAGCAATTTTGGATTGAATGCTGGACATTGTTGTGAATAATCACAAATGCTCTGAATGATTTTATCTTCTATAGAGGTCTAAATATTATTTTTGGCAGGCAGTTAGAGTAGTGACAGATTACCAGACTCAAATACGTGATTGATTTTATTTGAAACTTGGCAATATACTTTGTGAGAGCTTGTCTTTTCTAGTTTACCTCTGCTCCTGAGGTGTAGCTTTCTAGGATTTCCAACTTACAGGCTGGCATATTTATCAAAGGCCTGCCTCCTTGGTAAGCAAATCAGAAATAAAATTCTAAGACCCCAATTATCTGAATGAATTCCTCCTCTCAACCAACAGCATTCCAAAGTTAACCTGAATAACTAGTTCAGGCCATGATAGGAAGTGGGAGTTGGACATGCCTAATTTTACCTCCTGTCTTTTGGAATTCAGGAAAAGCCAACCAACATTCACATCAACACAGACTTTAAGTCTGTTAAGAAACATTTACAGTCTATTCTCTCTGAAGTCAGCTACCTGGAGTCTTCAGCTGAAAGATAAAACTTTGGTCTCCACAACCCCTTATTGTAACACAGACATTCCTTTCTACTGATGCCAGGTGTTTAGATAATTTCACTCTTTCAAGCAATTGCCAATCACAAAATCTTTAACTGTTCCTATGACCTGGGAACCCCCACTTTGAGTTGTCTTGCTTTGCACATTGAATCAATGTACATCTTACATGCATTGATTGATGTATTATGTCTCACTAAAACGTATAAAAATGCAAGCCGTACCACAAGCACCTTGGGAACATGTCATCAGGATCTTTCAAGGCTGTGTCATGAGCATGTCCTTAACCTTGGTGAAATAAACTTTCTAAATTGATTGATGCCTGTCTCAGATACGTTTGGGTTTACAACCCTTAACTCTAATTTTTGTCCCCAAAAAATTGCCAATAGTTCTGTGTAGCTACTTCACCTTGCAGTTGACATTGCTGCTCAGCCTCAAGGGTGTTAGAGGCACAGTGTACTATTAGGTTTACCTCTCTGTGTTTCTCATCTTTCCAGGAGCATGGCATCTCAAGTCTTAACTGCCTTGGTGGTTCTCTGATGCTTCACATACAAACACACGTACACAAAACTGTTTCTTTTTCTTCTTCTCCTTTTCCTTCTACTCTTATACCTCTAGCTTCCACTCCTCCTCTGTCCCTCCTCCTTTTTATTAATTACCCAGCTTTTTGTACTTATTCTCAGTGGTGGGGTTGGTATACAACAACCTAATTCATCATTACAGGAAGCCTTCCATGCACTTGGATCCATTTTTGTATTTTCTATTCGGTTCCATTAGTCTATCTAGTCATGCCCTATTGCCACCCTGTTTTAATTATCGAGGCTTTAATAATACATTTGTTATCTGATAGGGTTAGTGCATGAGTGCATGTTTGTGTACACATGCATATACACACACACAGCTCTTTTTAGTGTTTCCCAGTTATCTTGTCTGTTTATGCTTCCAAATAAACAGTATAATCAAGTTCTTTAACTCCAGAAAAAAATATAATATGTATATTAAGATAAGGTTAAATTTGTAAATTTACTTAGGAACAACTGGCATTTTTCTAACATTTACTATTTCTATTCAAAAACATCTACTCGAGTTTACTCTATGCACTTCAGGAGATATAATTTTCCTCACATAGAAGTTAGACATTTTTTGGGTGAAGTTTTTGCTTAGGTATTTTAAATTGTAAATGGAATCTTCTCTTTCATTCATCCTCTAACTGATTGTTATTCATATATGTAAAGAGTAGTGATGTAATTTCTTGCATGTTTATTTTATATCTTGCAACTTTACTAATTTGTTTTGTTTATGGTAGTTTTCCATCAATTATTTTGAGCTTTCCAGAAAAATAACATAGTGTACCAATCGAGATGGTTTCACCTTATTCTTTCAAACTCTGATGTTTCTAATTGCTGTCTTGTCTACTTGTATGGACTAATTTCTACAATATAACATTAAATTTTGGCAGAGAGACTAGGCATGTTGTCTTGTTCTTCCTTTCACCAGAAAGAATCTAGAGTATCTCCATTGGGGAAGATCTGGCTTTTGGATTAAATATCATTTTAAGGATGATAATGATTTTAAAATTTAAATGATACTTAAAATGACGATTTTAAGGATTAATCATTGACGATTATTGAGTGCTTTTTGCATCACTGGGTATTGGGTTTTGTTAAGTGCCTTTTTGCCATTTAAGAAAATGTTCTTATTTTTTTTCCACAGCTCTATTAATGTGAATTACATTGATTGTTTTCTTAATATTGAATCATTTTGTGTTTATGCAATAAATCCTACATGTTGTGAGGTATTATTTTAAAATATGCTATTAATTCTTTTTGCTAATATTTTATTTTAGAATTTTGCATACCTATTTATAAGTGGGAATAGTCTATAGTCTTCTATTTTGTACAATTTTTAAGATTTTGATATGAATTCTACATTCAATTCATTAAAAGATTTTAAATATTTTCCTTATTTTTTCATGCTTTGGAATAGTTTATATAGCATTTGGATGATCTAGGATTTAAAGGATTTTTAAGATGTCACTCTGAAACTTTGCGAGGGTGCTTCTTTATATCTTTATTTTTTTCTTTTAAGTTTGGTCCATTTAGATTCTATGTTTACTGAGATCAATTTTAGTAAATTAAATTTTCCTATAAAATGCATTTTTAAGTATTTCAATAAATTTCTATATAGTTGTGCAGAAAAGTCTCTTTTGATGTTAATTCCTCTCTTTGGTGGCTCTCATTATCCTCTCTTTGCTCTTTCTTATTATGTATGCTATTATTTTTTACTTTCTCACATTTAATTTATTTAATTTTATTGATTTTTAGGGAACAAGATTTATTTATTCATAAATTCTGAGTTTTTTGTTTGTTAATTTTTTAACTTTAATATTTCTTTTCTTCTAATTTCTTCATTTTTCTAATTTATGGCAATAGCTGTTACTCCCAGTTAATACCTATCAGGCAATTAGAAAGCATTCTATTTCCATATACTCTACCTTTCTTCTCTCATTTTTGTAGTTAAAATTTATTCAGATGATCAGGGCATATATTAAGCATATACTATTCTATCACCTTTATATCCACCATCACCTCTACAGTTAAATATCTTTAGTGGCCTTATGGTGAACCTGCCCCAGTATTTCCCAGTTGTCTGAAACTCATTTTCTACTTGATTCTTGAAAAATGTTCCTTGAGGTCTTACATACTCATAGCCTTCTCTATGACATATGTATATATATTATGTTGTGTGTGTGTATATATATATGTATACACATATGTCTATGACATATGGTATAATTTATCATATTTATCATATGGCATTAATTTACCATATTTTCAGTTCCATTTGATTTTTAATATTTTTTTCCTTTCCATTTTCTATTTCTCTTACTGTATTTTCATTGGTGTTTATTTACTTTTGTTCTTTCCAGTTTAGTCTTCTGAATTTTTTCTCTCATTTCCAATTTTTTGTTTACACTTTTTTATTTTTAATTATTACAGATACTAGTTGTATAGTTGTATATATTTATGGGGTACATGTGATATTTTGATAAAAGCATATAATGCATAATGATCAAATCAGGGAAACTGGGATATTCATCACCTCAAGCATTTATCATTTCTTCGTGTTAGGAACATTCCAATTTTATGCTTTCAGTTATTTTGAAATAATCTTATTCCTTCTATCTAACTGTATTTTTGTATCTATTCACCATGCCCTCTTTATCTCCCCTCCCCACTACCCTTCCCGCCCTCTGGTAACCATCATTCTACTCTATCTCCATGAGTTTAGTAATTTTTAGCTCCCACATGTTAGTGAGAACCTCAATATTTGTCTTTCTGTGTCAGGCTTATTTCACTTAGCATAATGTCCTCCAGTTCCATCCATGTTGCTGCAAATGACAGAATTTCATTCTATTTTTATGGCTGAGTAATATTCTATTGTGCATCTACCTGTACTACATTTTCTTTATCCATTCATCCACTGATGGACACTTGGGTTGATTCCATATCTTGGCTATTGTGAGTAGTGCTGCAATAAACATGGGAGTGAAGATATCTCTTTGATGTACTGATTTCCTTTGTTTTGAATATATACCTAGCAATAGGATTGCTGGATCACATGGTAGTTCTATGTTTTTGTTTTTTGAGGAACAGAGAAAGAGGAACCCTCTACAATGTTGGTGAGAATGTAAATTGGTACCTCCACTATGGAGAACAGTATGGAGGATCCTCAATTATTTCTTGAGCTCTGTTTTCTTTCTTTTAGTATCCTCCTCTTGGTTAGCCTTTTAATTTTTGCCTTGTCTGATTGATTATGCAACCTTTACAGTTTTTATTATTTTTCTAATGTTCTTTAGCTGGTTTTGAAATATTAAGTAAAAAAAAACTTTTATTGGCCTTTTTGCTATATTTTTCTAGTGGATCTTCACTGTTCATTATTGTGTCAGTCAGCGCATGTACGAAATAAAATGTCTTTGCTTACAAGACATTTTATTCTGAAATTATTTTCTGTTGCTCACGTTTTATTGAGATGGATTATATTATATTTTAGGGGTTATAATGTAGGGGTGGTAGCAGACCAGAATAGCCTTCCTAGATTCATGCATGGCTTTAAGACCCCTTCTTCTTTTGTTTCTGCAAAATATTTACAAATAGGACCTCTTTGTACCTTCTGTTTTCTCTGGTCCCTTCTCTCCTTTATATCTAGGACTTCTCTCCATTTTCTATTTATATAGATTTGAATTCTATTTTCAGTAGACTTTACTTAGTGTGGGGTTCTCTTCTTACAGAAGGAAATTTTGGTTGACTATTTCCAGAGGCTCTGGAACTTGAGTGCCCCTGCATAATCTGATTTCACTTTAGTTTTTCTACACCCATCTACAGAGTTGCTGCTCTGTAACCTCTCTCTAGTTTTGGCAATTATTCTCAGACCTGCCTGCTAGGTTTCCATCCAAGAGCAGACTTCTGCTTTAGTAGGTGAGTACTTGTGGATTCTTGGTACTCCAGCTCACAGAAAGTTGGAAGTTCCCCCTTTCTCCTCTCTGTTACTGCCAATAGTTGGTAATTTTTCTTGCCTATCCATATTCTAGAATTTGTAAGAATGATCCTTGTGTTTGTTGAAGATAACCATGAGGTTTTACTTTTACTATTCTAGATGCTCTAACCATTTTGTAAGGGGAATTGGGATGGTTTAAAAGTCTGCACTGATGCTGCCATGTTGCCCTGACTAAAACCTAAATCACTTCCTTTATTTGGTTTTGGAGAGACATCATACTACACTGTCTTTCTATCCTATCTCACTCGGCTGGTTTTTCTGAGAATTATTTGTTTATGGTGTGAGGAGAAATTTCATATTTACTCCCTTCCCTAATAACCTGGCACACACTTATGAGATAATCTAATCTATATTTGTTTAAAATGTTACCCTTGACACACACTAAGTATATGCACATATAGAATATCCCTCATAAATTCCTTATGTTGTTTGTACTTTAAATATTGATACATTTTGATGTAAATATTCTAGGCATATCTACTGAACTGCATTTTGTTATCATACTGATAGAACTTCATTCTGCCATTCTGCTATAGGGCAGTTACAGTTTATTATGAGATCAGAAATTAAATTAAACCAATGTGCTTGGTCATGTCATGTTGCTGTCTCAAACAATATGCTTTTGAATGTCATATATAGCTTGTTTCTCTTATGTCTAAACTTCACAAGATATACATGTATATTGTGGGGAAGGCAGAGAGAAGGAAAAAAACCAAACTGGATTACAGAAGAAATTACTATTCCTTTGGCATTTTATAAGATATTCTATAATATTTTGATATAATGTTTAAACTTACTTTCTCTCTGCTTTGTGACTGGCTAAAATCACAGAACTATTGTAGCATTCTCACCTAATGGGTTCAAGGCTATGTGTCACATCCTTGCATTACAGCATCCTCTGTGCCCGTTCACATATGTACTCATTCATTCTAAAAACCATCTGTACCTCATAATGCAAGTGGAGACAGACCCTGAGGGTTTATAATCTCACAACGAAATCCATTTATTTAGTTTTCTAACCAAAATAATGCTTTCTCATTCAAGAGATGTACTTGTGCATCTGCTATTTATTTGGCATGCCTTTCCCCTCTCTATTACTCACTTCACAGTTTTGGTTTAGCAAATGCATTGGGTGAAATGAATAAAGATATGTAGACCAAAACAGTAGGAAGTGTTAATTGTCATCAAATAGCCAAGTTCTGAGTTTATAAGAGAAAGGTATAGTTTGATACTCCAGCCACTTTAGGCTGGATCTTTCTAAGATGGCCACATTCTGTTTCTAATAGACAAATTTCTTTGATCTATATGGAACAATTTAATTTATGAATAATTTATGCACCAGAATTCAAATAAAATTGACAATGTTTGAGAACAAACTGTTGACCATGCCCTTGTCTTATTTTATACTGTGGTTTAAAAGTGATATAAAATGTAATATTTTAACATAAACTCACAACTGTCAAGCGTGCACTCATTTTAAAAACGGACTGGCCATCAGGAAAAAGATTAGGTAATGAAATTCCACATTCTGACCCACTGTCTTCTGAATGTCCATTTATTTGTTTATGTGAATAAAAGCAACTACTTAAAACTGTGGCATTCTCAGTGCCAGTGTAGAGTGGGAAATACGGTAATCATTCCTACTTTTGTTCTGAAATTCACCCCAAAAAAACACAATAAATGCAAGTTTTCATGGTCAAATGTATTCTCATTCATTATCATCTAGCTTTCAATTCACAGCTTGATACATCTAAATTGTCAGACAATGGAGAGAGAGATTTGAGAGGAACACAAAGGAAGGAGGAAAAGAGATTCTTCAAAAGGATGAATCTGTGAAGGGCAAATGACTCAGAAAAATCTTCATACACTAAAAATTACTTTTTAAAAGTCCCTACCCATCTACTTTCTTGTATTTCTCTACTTGTGTCCTAATTATTCATTTTAAGATTTAATTGTCTATTTCTCTTCTGTCCCTGCCTGCCTCTCCCCCTCCCTTCCTCTTTCACTTTTCTCCTTCCATCTTTATAGTGGGTAAAAACTCCCACTGAAATGCTTCGTTTGGGTCCTAAGCAAATCTTCTGCAACTCCACTGGATCCCAGTATCCCTCCTGTACAGGACCATCTTCCATTCTAAGTTCCTTCAGTTATGGCCAAATAGATGTCTCTATACCTTTGAGCTCAAGTAAAACACGCTGTGAAAATAAACTCAATTTGCTTATCTGGAATATCACGTGAGAATACACTGACCATATTAACGCCATATATTTTATTGCTTTGAAGTGGATTATCTTAGATCCTTAGTTATGTCTTGCTTTTTAAAGTTAAGGTATGTATAGAATGGCAGAACAAAAGTAACAAAGTGTCTGTTTGGATGAAAATAACTAAAATTTACAATTAATTTTCATTGCTATAACTTCTAGAAAACACAGCAAGGAGGGCTAAAGGTGAAGGTGCTGAGAAACACAAATCCTGTCTCAACTGGACGTCTATTATAGATTGAATATGAATACATGGAGGCAGCCAGTAATGTAGAGTGCATTTTAATAATTTTTAAAAGAGTTAAATGATCAAATCCCTAAAGATACAGCATTTTTCTTTTTCTTTGCCCAGGAATCTGTTTTGGAAGCCAATTCAATGATTACTACTAGGACATGGAATTTTGATATCCATTTGGTACTGATTTACACCAGTATTTTTAAGGCTGCCAACAAGAAAGTCCAGAATTTCATCAGGCAGCCAAAATTCCACAAGAGACAACTGTCTTTTATTTTATAGCTTATGAATTTGGGGCTTAATATGATTTTCCACTAACAAGTTCTGTACCCCCTCCAGAGTGCTAAAGCCAGTGCATAGATCAGCAAAGTAACCCAGAACATATGAGGCAAGTTAATATTAAACTTGAAGGAAAAATGTACAAATTATATTGTTTACTTAGGAAAAAAAGCACTCTAGTTGAAAGAGCTGACATACGATTTATTGCAAACACTTAACCAGCGTGTTCACATTTTTAACCCCATTCCCACTTGTAGTACTTGTTTGGTGGCATTGTGGCACTGGATACAGACTGATAAACCCATCAATTAAAAATCCATTAAATATTGGTAAAAAAGCTCTATTACATGTCTTCTCTTGTTATGCAATGGCTAGAAAACATACAGAATCACATCCATAATGAGTAAATAAATCACAGTAATAAATAACTAACTTAGGGAATAGGTAGATGAATAACTCTTTTTAAGCATAAGTAAATGAAGAACCTGTTTAATTAAAAACAACAAAATGTTCTTAGTTTCCAGAAATAATTCTATTGTGAAAAGAAAACTTCCATATATAATTAGGAAAATATAGTATAGGGTTTCTTTCTATGCTCAAAGCAATGTTTTCAAAAGAGTCAGAGATAATAAATACTGGAACACATAAATGATTAAATATGTGTGGGTTTTTTTTTTACATAAGTCATGAAATCTTCTTCCCCAGATGCCAGGAAGAAAAGGAGAAACATCATATATCAGTCCCATAGTATTTAAATTTTCTACTCCTAAAGGATTTTTCCTAGGATTTCAGGCTTATTCAAAAACCTTCATGTTTCATACAATTTGTAATATAGCTTTATACATTTGTTCCCAATCTCAGTCAGCATAGATAGATAATAGAAAATATCAGCATAGGAAGCTGTAGAATTACTTATCTACAAAACCAGACATCAAACACTGCACCTTGCAATATTTTTTAGTAAAGAGAAATTATGTCACAAAATTTCACAGATGAGGCCTATGGAAGAAGAACACAAAGGAACTATATCTGTAGTAGAAGCCCATCCTAACTACTAAGAAAGCCACACGATACCCTTTAGATTTCACATTAGAATTCCTAAACTGTTAGCCTAACACCTGGCCCTCATGCTGACCACAGGAAGAGGACTTCTGAACCACCATCGTCAGGATGCTGTCCACCTTCCTGAAAGGGATGAGAATCTGTGAGGGATTCCCAGGCTTATCAGAAAGAAGGCTAGAGCATTGTATGTGAGCACCATCTAGCACTGCTATATTTCTAAAATAGTAATTGTACAGAGTCATTTTAACCATGTGCCAAACTGCTCCATCTAATGACAGTTAAATTAAAGCTGCAAGTGTGTGAGCAAATGGTAAAAAGACTTCTGACTTCTATTCTTAACTTTTATAGTAGAAACATTTCCATAAAAAACTTCATTTAAAAATATATTGCTAAATTACTCTATGAGATTTATCATTAGCTAATGACATGATTTTTATCTACACAAATTTTAAAAACTGACATTGAGTGGATAAATTATTTCACACAAAAAAGTTACTGTATCTAGAAGAAAATAAAATGAAGACATTGCTATAAATTAACCTTTGAAGTTTAATGTCTTTACCCACACCTACTTATAAGACAAGACCTGAAAAAAAAGCCATTCTGTTTGTAAAGAAGGCCAAGATAATATGTTTCAGGTGGTAGCAAACCACATAAATATTGCGAGTATCAATCCTGGCCCTCTATCAGGAACATGCATTTCTGGTTTATTGAATCATGAATAATTATTTATATTACCTATCATTATAAATCCTATTTGTTTCTCCCTATTGTCACAGAGTTATGACAAATTTCCTTCTGAATTTTTTATTAGTTTTCCAAAAGACTCCACATTGAAATTCAATTATGGCTAAACTCTACAGGTGTGGTATATGGGGAAAAATGGAGAAATACTCCTCTAAATATATCAGATCCACCAACTATTGCTTTATCTTAAAATGAAAGTTTATTCCTCTAGACTTCCCCTCTCTGCTATATGTTCTGACCTAAACTCATTCTCCATTTAGCCTTTACTAGTTTGTTTTTGATATAGCAGTGTGATCAGCAGCAATGTGACCAGAGTACACTATATTTTGTTTCCATATAAACATTCTGGCAGTCAGTTAAGTTCACTGTGTCCTTTGGAAGTCTAATCATACAGACAACAGGTCTGACAGAATATACACTACTTAATATATACAAATGTGAGTCCTGAGAGCAACACATAAGGATTAAAAGAGGAAATAACTTTTCATTAAGGCTGGAAGAAATTGGAGAAACTTTAATGGGGAAGTTTTAAAAACTCTAACTAAATTACATCACTTGCTTTTAGATAAAAATGAGCCCAATCTCGAGTTGCTGGCTTGAAAACATTTTGTTCATTCATTCATGACCAATGGTGAGCAGGTACTTGGCATCCCAGTGGTTTCATATTTGAACTTCATCTTCTGCTTTAAGTTCATGGCATGTACCACTGATGTGTGTTCCTAATAATTCTCCTTCTCTCAACAGTGGAGACAAGGCAGGAGGCTGCATCGTCAATAGGGAAAGAGATGGAGAAAAATTGGGAGTCATGCCTTCTGGCAGAGAACCAAGATGGTAGGGGATGGGAGAGCGTGGGTGTTTCGGAGGCACCTGCCCCAGGTTTACTGCCGGCATTCTTGGTGGGACTGCTTTAATCCCAGGCTGGGCTACTGCTGTTATCAAAGGGGGTGGAAAAACAAAAGATTTCTTCTCTTTTGGAATGCCAGGCATATGCAAATGTTCATCCTTTAGTTTTGCAATATCATTAAATACTGAGGCAAGAGGTTGGAATTTGGGCTCCCAACTAAGAAGATAATTCCAGTGATAGTTGTCTTTTCCATCATGATCAGAGGTCGTCTGAGTTGAAAGAGCTGCACACCTTACTTCCTGATCACCTGAAATAAAGACAGACTCTTTTCTAACGTCAGCCAGGATGCTCTCTTTTGCCTCTCTCTTCTGAACTGTCTGGGGTAACACATTATTTTGAGCACAGGTGGTGCTGCAGCCTTCCCCTTGATCTCCTTCCCCAAATGTTTGGCTGGCTTCTGCTGTTTCGGCAGTCACCATCACATCAGTTTCCCCAGATAGGCAGGAGAGCTGGTCTGAGTCCCTCGGGATACCCGAGTCTGGCACCCTGGACTCGTGGTCACTCAGAGCTGAGTCTGAGCACTTTCTGTAGGGATGCTCATTTATCCTCTGGATTTCCTTATCTTCTGCAGTTTCTCCTTCCACAGAACAGTGGCCACTGGAGTTTGAGTGTCTGTACAGATTGACAATATCCTTCTCCATGATACTTATTAAACTCAACCATTCCGGAGTGGCATCCACAGGGACCACCTCGTTACTGCAGTCGTCAGTTTTCTGGAAGGCTTTGAGCACACTGGCATCCCGGGTCACTCTCAAGTCCGCATCTAAAGATGAGGTTTTCTTCTCCTCATAATTGTTTATTGTGTCTTTTTGTTTATGTCTTAAAATCATTACAATTAGAATGCAGATGAGTATCAGAAACACTAAAAAGGAGACCACCAGGCTGATTGAAAAGCTGCTGGCGAACACTGCCAAGGGTGTTCCTTCAGAGGAGAAAGACACATTCACAAAAACAGTGCAAGATGCAAACTTGGAATCTGATTTGGGACTATGAGCGATTATTTTCATTTCCAAGGTGTCTTCTTTGTTGAGTTGACTTTTTATTAGGGGAAGGGCTCTAATCAAATAAATATTTCCATTGGTTTTATTTACTGAAAAGAAAGGAGATGAGGTTCCAAGGGAGTAAAGAATGACTCCATCAATACCAGCATCTGCATCTGAGGCTTCCACTCTGCCAATCAACTGTCTGTCTTTATTCTTTTCTGGGAGGGTGAAAAAATACTGATCTTGAGTGAAAATGGGCTCAAATTCATCTATCCCTTCAATATCCACCCAGACCACTAAGGAGGCAGTTGCATCACCTTTGTCTTTGGCTTGGACTGTGAGGCAGTATTTATTGCCATTTTCATAGTCAAGGATTTGCTTAGCATGAATATCCCCTGTCAAAGGGTCAATGAGGAAGAGATCATGATCATAAGACATTCCATGAGTGAGAAAACAGGGTGATACAATAGAATAGGTCAATTCTCCATACGGACCAGCATCAAAATCCAGAGCATTTATAGAGCATATGGTAGAGGAAATAGGCAGATTTTCTGGAACAATACAGCTGAAGCTTGAGAACATAAACTGAGGTGCATGGTCGTTATCATCCAGGACACTGACAAACACAACTGCAAAAGAAAAATGTTTCTTTTCTGCATCTGAAGCTTGGACAGTTAAGGTGAATTTTGTCATTTTTTCATAATCCAGAGGTTTAATCAAATAAAGAACTCCAGTGTTTTCTTCTAAGTAAAAATGTCCCTTCTCATTTCCAGAGATGATGTTGTAGATGATTTCTGCATGTGACCCTGTGTCACGGTCATTTGCTGAGACCACAGTGATGTGACTCCCTAGAGGGGTGCTTTCCTTGACATGGGTGTGATAGCTCAGGCTGCTGAAGTTTGGGGGATTGTCATTGACATCAAGTACTTGTATTGATATGACAGCTGTGGAACTCAATGGAGGGCAGCCACTGTCAGATGCCAGAATGACAAGCTCATGGCTAGCACTTGCTTCTCTGTCCAGACTGTGAAGCAACACAAGATAACCGACTTGCTTATAAGGATATTCTGAATGAAAGAACTTAGTTTCCACATGAAAATTGTTCTGTGAATTACCACTGATGATGGAATATTCAACATATGTGTTTTCACGGGTCCAGTCATGGTCGATGTTTGAAAATGTAACAAGCGTGCTTCCAACCAGAGCATCCTCACTTAGGCTAAGATTATAGGATTTGACTGTGAATTCAGGGGCATAATTGTTCATATCTTCTATTCCTATCTCCACTAAAGTAAGAGCTCTCAGGTCAGGATTTCCACCATCACTGGCTTCCACAAGAAATTGAGTTGTTGATATTGTATCCAGAAGTAATACGGGACTGATAGTAAATATTGTGCCTGAAAAATAAGACATAGTATTTCAACACTGTGAGGTGCAGTTTTGATGATCCATTTAATCGGCAGTTGACTATCCAATGTCTACTAATATGTGTTTAATTCTTTGTTAGATCTGTTAAGTCACAATGAACAATGACTCCAAATAGAAATACAAATTATTGTATTTATATGTTTATAACATGTAAGATACAGAAATAATATTCATGACATTCACTCTGTGAAATATGTGTGCTGCTTGAGGTTGCTGTTGCCACAAATTCCTCTGAATTTTGTTTTTGTATAGTAAGTTGTTCCACTATTCTTAAAAAATATTTTTGTTTGTAAAATTTATACCCCATTCTACTACCCACAAACACATGTATAAAGATATTCTGGCATAAAGATACTTATTCTGGAAATACTTGTTGATATTCAAGCCAAATGAAAGCAGTAAAAATGATAATGCTGAGTTACTATTATACTATTGCTTAATTAGAGAGATGGGCTTTCCTACAGATCATGCAAGTCGATGTTTCCCTTATTGCTGAAATGTAGTTGATAAAGTTTATTGTACTAAATATAGAAATATTTAATTTTTATAAATGTGTGTGTTAAACCATTTTTAAGATAAATATGTCTTAAGGATGGTCACTAAGAAAGAATACAGAATGCTGACATTTAAATGCCATGTTTCAGTTAGAGTCCCACCATGAACTAAATCGGCCATCATTTAATGTTTTAAAAATATTTGAATCAATAGCTTAGTGCGTTTAATGTTTTAAACATTGCATTTAATGTTTTTAACATTGCCTTTAATGTTTTAAACATTTAATGTTTTAAAAATATTTGAATCAATAGCTCAGTGCAAAATCTGTCAATAGCACATGTCAAGTAAAAGTGTTGCTAAGGATTGAGTGCTCAGAAGAACTGCCTTGCACACTGTGATTTGCTGTGGCCGGGGTGGCAGTTGCCATCATCTGAGACTACAGAAAGAGAGACAGACAGAGAGAGAAAAGACGGTGGGGGGGTGGGGTGGGGATACAGAGAGAAGAATAGAAGAGCCAAATTCCTGATACGTTTGTAATCATGCAGTAATCGTTCATCCACAGGCAGCATGATACAGGACGTACTTCTCCATTTACAACACCCGGTGGGCTTCATGCTGGTATTTTGGGACTAAATTCCCCTTTCAGGTAATCCCAAGGTTAATTTTTAAATGAACTCTCACTTGTGAAATGATGCAATGGTGGATAGAGATGGGGAACACAGAGTGTGATGTCTCCCAGGCCCTGTTATTTTCTAGTATGCTCTGCTAGGGACATTGTTTTGCTACTTATTCATCTTTACAAAATTTAGCTTTTAAATTAAATTAAATGTCCACTCACTGTTCAACTTTCTCTATATACTGTTTAATTGAATGTAGAATCACTTGCCTGAAGGCATTTCACAACCACGAATGTCTTGGTCTCTGATAAAAAGACAAAAAGCCTTGGGAAGCATCAAATAAACCAAAACACCACAGTGGTTTCCAGTTGGTAGAGATGCTTAAATAATTTTCCTTTTAAAATTATTCTTGTGCTTATTGAACATATAATGCTATTACTGATTTTTTTTAACTTGGCTTGGGAAGAAAGCATCCAGACTCTAGTAATATGAAGTCTTCAGCACTAACTTAATCCCTTCAACATCATTTTGATTCTTGCTGAATCCTGGGATAATTGCCTGAACTGTGCTTGGTTGGACGGATGCAACTGGGTGTTTATTATACTGGGGTCTCTGAATTTGTGAGCATTTACCAGCATTTAAACAGTGACATTTGCTTTCCAGCCACTGAGATGTTGGAGAAGAGAAATAACACTGGCATTTGCTATCGCAGCACTTCATGTGAAGAGTAATGAAACAGTCGTGCTTATAATTCCATGCGGGGTGGGGAGGTGGGGAACTTTTATAGAGGCATTTAGAAAGGGTTATTTCAGGTTTCTACTTTGAAACCCAAACCTATGAGCATTAATGCAATTATAAATAACTCACCATTCTTAGGATCAATGGAGAATTCCTTAGAAGAGGATAGAATTCTGTAAGAAATGTTCTCATTGCTTTCTAAGTCTGTGGCTGACAGAGTCAGCACTGAATACCCCACAGGTATTGATTCAGGAACTGTGACCTGAGGGAAAAAGAGAAAAATAGGGACATTGTGCTTAAAGGCTGAAGGTATTTTCACCAACAGGGACAGAACATGAGGTCATTTTATTCATTTTGATTATGGAAACCATACAATACAACCTGACTTTGTTAGACATATTAATTTATGGAATTGGCATATTAAAAAGATTGTGTGAATAGTCCCTGGATTCAGAAAAAAAGGTGTTGTTTTGTTTTGTTTTGTTTGAGATGCAGTCTTGCTCTGTTGCCCAGGCTGGAGTGCAGTGGCGCAGTCTTAGCTCACTGCATCCTCTGCCTCCTGGGTTCAAGCGATTCTCCTGCCTCAGCCTCCAGAGTAGCTGGGACTACAGGTACCTATCACCACACCAGGCTAATTTTTGTATTTTTAGTAGAGATGGGGTTTCACCACGTTGGCCAGGCTGGTCTTGAACTCCTGATCTCAGGTGATCCGCCCACCTCAGCCTCCCAAAGTGCTGGGATTACAGGTATGAGCCACCACGCCTGGCCAGAAAAACTAAGTTTTAAAAATAATTTTATTCAGTTTTTTTTACTATGAAAAAAAGTTCTTCTAAACTATTTCTATGAGGCAGAAAATAGTTAATACATTCACTAATATATTATTCCATTACATGCATGGCATTAATTCAAGCAAGCCTTCACAGGGGATCATTACTTAGGTTACCCTCCCCTTGTGTTTACACTTAAATCTTGCATTTGCTACATTCAAAAGTTCTGGAGTCCATTTGCAAGTATTGAGTTGAATGCTATCCTTGCCCTTACTTCTATAAACATATATTATGCTCTAAAAGCTAAAATTTCCACTTTATAGTTTTGTTCGTGATTTTTTTTCTGTAAAATTTTAATCAATGCATTCCAAAAATATGCCTATGAAAGAAAGAATTTTCCCAAATTAACTGCAGATAATGCAAACAGTCTTATCAGTGGTTTGCAAATATTTGGCAGGTTCCAATTGTCATGACAAACTGGACTACAACCTCTAAAAACTAAAAAAAAAAAAAAATACATATGTAGTAAACTAAACCGAATGAGACATTCATTTCCATATGTACTTATAGACTCCGTGATATTAAGTGTAAAACCCGCAGCGTTAACTTAGGCACTACAAACAGTGAATGCTGTCTATCTGAATTAGTCTATCGGCGATGGAAGACTTACATTATTCTCTATTCTTTCTAGTTTTGGCTTTGGTTTCGGCATCTCTTTAAGCCCTTTACCTGATAGAAATCTTGAGAAAACACTGGTGGATTATCATTGACATCCAGCACACGGACTACAAGTGCTCCCTCTGTGTAGTGCACTGAATCAGAAATTTGGATGAGCAGCTCATATTCAGTCATTTCTTCAAAATCCAATGTTTTCACCAACACCACCACTCCAGTGTTCTGATCAATAGCAAACTTGGTTCCAGGATTACTCTCTTTGGCAAAACTGAATATGAAAGCTGAATTCAAATCCACATCATGAACTGACACATGAGTCACAATTACACCAGGCAAAGAATCTGAAATAGTCATGACCAGTGTCAGTCTCCATTAAAATTCATCCTTTGAAATACATTTCTTTAGTAGTTCCATCCAAGTATTTTTATTCTAAGTCCAATATGATTTGCTCTTTCTTGGCTTGATTTCTCATACAAAGCTCATTATGCACTGAACAAAAACTCTGAAGAATTTATGAGACCAATAAAAGTGAAAATTTACCACTGAGTAGGGAATTGAGGAGGTAGGGTATATTCAATTTTTATATTACATTATTTTCATTATATGCTTACAACACAATTCCAGTACCAAGAAACATTCTAAGCCACTTATTTATAATATACACTTTCTGTATCAAAATCATATCTTCATGGGGGATATGAATGGGATGAAAGGTATTACTCAGGACATTAATACAAAACATGGCATTTTCAAAAACAGGCCAGGTTTAAATATTTGGGCACTAATGTCCGAATTAGATACTTATTTCCTTATATTTATTTTTGTACAATTATTTATTTTGGAGTGGTGCACACACTGCTTCCTTTTCTTAAATCTGACTCTCAAAATTATTAAGACTATAGAAAAACAAAGTCTACATAGTACTAGTGAGGAAAGCAAATCTCAAATATTATTCACCAAAAAATTACAAAATAGATGAAATGTTCAATGCCTCACTCACCACATATGTTCTGTAGCCTAAACAGCCCGTGAAAGGGACTTTGTTTTTAATCTTACAGATATGGTACAGCTAGAAAGAATATGCCAAGATGCTCAGAATAGTTCCATTGTATATGAAACCCATAATTTTCCATTTTCAAGCTTGAACACTCTCAATGTGCACCAACCACACCGTACCCTATTCAGTATGTTTTGATTTATGTAGTTTCTTCTTGTGATATATTTATATTAGGCCCATTGCTATATTTTAACACTAATTGCATGTGCTGAAAAATAGATCCTTCAATAAAATCAAATGAAAATATATCAAATATGCAAAAGGCAAAACTGGAGAATTTATTTTATTTGTAGGTTGTAATATTTGTAGATATCTCTATGCATAGACATGTCTGGAATATTTCCCTCTGTGAGAGGTTATGGTTGTAATTTGTTTAGAAAGTGAACATAATAAAATGTTAGAAACATTTTAGGAATTAATGTCGTATTACGAGTGAAGTAGAGAGGCAAGCGAGGGTCACCATTATTTTCATCTTCAACTATAAAGACTTAGGTTATGTTTCCCCAACGCAGCCATTGACCATGGACAACTTTGGGTCCACAGACTAGAGGACCATTGTATAACCCACAGACCCAAATAATGAAGGTTAACCAGCATCTCACTTAAAAATTTCTAGTTTCAACCTCTACCATTAGTGTGGTACAAACGTTGAAGATAAGGTTATTCTGGGAAAAATGATGGCTTTGTGCAATAAACATCTAATTCACTTCACTAATTAGTTGTTGTTCGTATCCTGAAAAGACTGACAGAGTTATGAATGCTGATTCTTCTTAGAGGAGGTTCACAATGGTTATCACAGTCAACAAAATATGCTTCTTCATAGAGTAGATATAATTTGTAGGAAATGTCTGCATTATAAACAGATACTATAAGGGATGATGGTTGGAGCATGGGGACTTGCTTTGACATTTTACTCCTTTGACATTTAATATTTAACTTATGATCATCCATTTTTTTGTTCTGCAAAATGAAGACAAAAATGATCTAGTTTGCTTGGTTGTTGAGGATTAGCACTCATGTTAATACAGTGTCTGGCTAAAGAAAATGGTAAATGATATTATACAAGTTAATCAAAACCACTATGCCAAATTGTCACACTTACCTTCTGTAATTTCCACTGCTTCAGAGGGGAGAAAAGCTGGGGCATTGTCATTTATATCAGTCACCTGTACCTTGATTACAGTCGTATTAGAAAGCCTGGGCATCCCTTTATCTGTGGCTTGGACAATCAAGCTGGTTTGGAAAAAGAATCAAAGAATGTGATTCATCATCCAGGAATTAGAAAAACAACATAAATATCAAATATCTAGTTGAAAATTTTAAAATGAGCTGACTAGCTACTTTTATTTTTCTCTTGGATTTTCTAAATGGCATCATTTAAAATGTATTTCATAAGAATGGTACTCTGAAATTTATTTATTTTTGGCATGTTCAGAGAACCAAATCCAGCAAGCTGCCAGGGATCATGAGGCATTAATGTCAAAATGGACCATTTCGGAGAGCCAGACTGTAAAATTCAATCCTGTCCTGTGAAGAATAATCTTAAAAAATAGAAACACCAATATCTGTACTTTGGATAAGTAGACTGTTTCCACCTTGCCATGCCCTGGTCTGGATATTGCTACATATTTCCATCTTACTGAACCAACAAAAGATGTAGCCACTAAAAGATTGCTTTGTACTGATATTTTTGGATCCAAATAGCAAATCAATCGAAATGCTAGAAATAAGACAGGACACCGCTATGATGAACACACTTACAGAAGATGTATGATTGGCTAGGATTGTGAAGTAGAGGTAAAAGTCCATGATCTGAAAGAATTTACATAGACTAATTTAATCTCTCTTGGATGATGCTACAATGAGCTTGTCCATCAAACAAACTACAAACCTTGTTACTGTCTTCAACTTCTCCCTTTCTCTCACCACCCTTCCAATGTTCAACTAATTATGTATCTTATCGGTATTACCTCCTGGATGTCACTTGGATTAGTGTCCCCAGCCATTTCACTCCTACCTTCAGAGCCCTCATGTATGGTAATCAGCACATTTTGCTTTGTCTGGGAGTGAAGAATTTCCTGGGACATGAGACTTGCAGTGTTTTTAAAACCAAGATACTCCAGGCAAACTGGACATGGGACTTTCAGTGCTACATCCACTAAAGTCCCAGGCAAACCTGGACAAGCCAGTCCCCTGTAGCCTCAGCCCCTCACCATTTTTACCTGGAATGCTCTATATGTATTGTATCCTTTCTCACCAGGAGGACCTGATAAATTACCAACCTCCCTGCTGTGAGTCTCCTCTTGTTCCATCCACCCTCTATATTGCGCTCAATTGCTCTAACTAAGATCCTAATTTGAAAACCTGACCTCCCTATTTAAAACTCTTCTTTGGCTCTCCATGTCTCTAAGAGGTTATCCAAACCCCTGAACATGTTCACATAAACTTTTTTGTTCTTGCTTTTACATGGAATCTCAGCCCTTACACCTTGGTTTTTCAAAGCTCACATCTCTGCGAAGTTGTCATGGACCTTTCATTTGATTTAAATGCACCTTTATGTATTCGCATAGCACCCTGTACATTCTTCTGCCATAGCAATCATCACTCTTTTTTCTTAATAACATATTTGTCTGCCTCTTCTGTAAGTTTCTTATGGGCAGGGAGCCGCCTTATTTGCTTTTCTATAGTAAGTATTGAATGTTGGTTTCTCAAGATTTCCCCAAGGTTATACATACATTATATGACAGAGCTGGGATTCAGGTTCATGTGTTGGTCAACTGGAAACCTGTGCTTCATGATACTTGTTGAACATACCTCTCTTATTGTGTATATATCACATTCTAATGTATAATTATTGGCTTATTTTTCACTCCCCTCTGAACACGATGAAGGCTAGGAGGGTGGCTGAGTAATAAAATGAGTTATTAATTAGAAGATGCTCTTTATTTCAGAAGTGGAATTAGTCTCAGCTAGTTGTGGGAACCACCTTTTAAGAAACTATGTCTTCAAAGTTGATACACTTTCACTTTGTTTTCATTGTTAGAACATTCACTTGATGAATGTTCTTTCTCTTTCCAATCCTAAATTTAAAAATGACATGAAATAAACATCAACTCCTTCTTGGTTTGAATTCCACTTAATATTAAATCATCAGGGCTTATCTACTATTCATGAAGAACACAGGCTGCCTTCTGCATTATCAGAGTTGGAATATTAGTAGAACAACCACCTGAATCTCACATTTCTGGAGCCTAACTTCTGGAATAATTATATGCTGAAAGTTTATTTTGTTAGTATGAATGTCAGTCAGATACATATGGAAATATTTTACCAAAAATAATCAACTCATACTCCTTTCTCCCCTGCTGCTTGCCCCTTCCAATGTCATCTAAAGTCTCAGCCAAGACATCAAAGTTAAGTTTCTATCAACTCTTCTACTGTAGCCATAATTACCATTATTTTCACAATGTTACAACTTCAGGCATCCTACATAATGCCTTGTCAGATTAAAAAGAAGTGAGATTCTTTGATATGGAGAGAAATATGTTGTTTAGCATCAAAATAAATGGGAAAGGAAAAGGTTCCTCAATGACTTGAAGAACAAATAAAAAAATATGAAGGTAGATGTGCAGATATTCTGTACACAACCTCTGCAAGACTTCAAGCCATCTATGATGGCTCTTTCGCAGTTGTGAAACTGTTGGTTGTAGCCTGTCCAACTCACTCCATGTTCCACAACTGTTGCCCTGATTACTATTATCACTACAGACAATAAATGAAACTGACCAGATTTAGAACAGGCCCATTCTAAGCCTTTTAAATTCAGAGCATTTTTTTCCTGTTCTATCAACAATGGGAAGCTTCTTTTACCATGTTAAACTTTAAATAAGGCTTTTGACCAGGAAGGATCTCTTTGATTGTCTTAACAAGTACTAAACTTGTTGGTAGAGGATTTTTCAAAACTCTCAATTATATCTTAAACGTCTAGCAGGAATTTTCTAATCCTTCTGAAATTCTGAAAAAAAAAATATCAGCCACCAGTAGAAATAACTATGAAAAGAAAAACTATGATTTCTGGTTAAAGACAGCAAGCTGACTACACAGGTTTTATCTTCCCTTCCTCTCAAGATTCTTCTAAAATGATATCAAAAACCTTTTATAATAAGTTATAAGTCCATAAAGCTAAAAAATGAGGGAAGATATTAGTGGGTGAAATGAATGAGAAATATCAACAAATTCTGGAAGATACAAGCAGATTGAAGAGTGTTTGCAGATGAGTGGGCCAAAGGAAATCAGAGATTAAAATCCACTCAGAATGTACAACACCAAGAGTGGATCCCACTGAAAACTGTAAATCTGAGTGATAATGATGTGTCAGTGTAGCTTCATCAAAATGCACCAATCTGGTGGGGATTTTGATAACAGGGGAGGCTGTGCATGTGTTTGGGCAGGGATATACAGGAAATCTCTGCACCATCTCTCAATTTTGCTGTGGACCTAAAACCACTCTAAAAGAAGTCTTTTAAAATGCATTCAGAGGAGCATAAAGATACGTGAGGAGCAGAGTTGCTCCCAGGTCACCAAGGAGAGGCTCAAGACATGGCAAATATTGCAGTGAGGTATTGAGATAAAAATAGGAAGAATATTTTAAATTCAGATTATTTAAATAGAAAGATTATTTATGTTATTTTAAATACAGGGTAGTTTTGTCCCTCTTGCCCATTACTCTGCATTCTCAGCCAAAGAATGCCTTTGGTTCATACTTGGGGTTAGTAATATTGAAAGACCTTCTCTGGAGAACTGAAAGTCCCCTCCCAAAGAAAAGTGAACTCCATATACTGCCATTTGTATGTCATCCTGAAAAATAGTCGACTTCCCCTGTGGTACATTTGAAAGTGAAGAGTGCTAGTCAAGTCCCTCTAGCCCACTCAGAGGTTCTAATGACTTTGAAATTGCCTCACTTATATCTAAGAATCAACACTTATTTACAGAAAGCCTTCAGCATGAAAAAGAGAGCTCAATATAGACAAATAAAAAAAAGGAACCCAGTGGAAACAGATATTGAAAGGAACAAAAGAAAATTTAAAACAATTCTAATTAATACCTTGGAGAGATATCAGAAGACAACATGTGCATAAAACAAGAGTTGGATATTATTTAAAAAGTCAAACATCAAAGAAGAGCTTTTAGAAGTAAAAACAAATATATAATATCCTCTCAATTTTTAATTAGAAAATAAAAAAGAAATTTTAGAAGATTAAAATTCAGGAAATATCTTCCCAAAATAAAACAACAAAAACTAAACCCACACACAAACAATAAATGGAAAGTAGGAAATAAAATATAACTAACAAAGAATTCATCTAGGCAATCCAATACCTAATTGAATAGGATTCAGGAAAATGAAACAGGGCAAAACAACAAAACAAAACTAAAAAAAGGGGAGGAAATTTTCAATGAATTTTCCTTTTCAATAATACAAGAAAATTAAAAGAAATATGTCTTTTTATTAAAAGTGAACACTGAATACACAGCACAAGGAGAAACCCACATCAAAATATGCAATCACATTTTAAAATACTATGGATGATAAGTATAACCTATAAATTTCTAGAGAGAAGGAAAAATTATACAAAGTAAAAGAATCAGAATGGTGGCCAGGCGCAGTGGCTTATGCCTTTAATCCCAGCACTTTGGGAGGCTGAGGCGGGTGGATCATAATAAGGTCAGGAGTTCGAGACCAGCCTGGCCAATTTGGTGAAACCCCATCTCTACTAAAAATATAAAAATTAGCTGGGTGTGGTAGCGGGCGCCTGTAGTCCCAGCTACTCGGGAGGCTGAGGTAGGAAAGTCACTTGAACCAGGAGGCAGAGGTTGCACTGAGCTAAGGTCAGGAGTTCGAGACCAGCCTGGCCAATTTGGTGAAACCCCATCTCTACTAAAAATATAAAAATTAGCTGGGTGTGGTAGTGGGTGCCTGTAGTCCCAGCTACTTGAGAGGCTGAGGCAGGAAAGTCGCTTGAACCTGGGAGGCAGAGGTTGCACTGAGCCAAGATCACACCACTCCAGCCTGGGTGAAGAGCAAGACTCCGTCTCAAAAAAAAAAAAAAAAAAAAAAAAAAAAAAAAAAAAAGAATTAGAATGGCACTAGACTTGTTAATAGCAACACTGGGTTTCAGAGAATAACACAGCAATGCCTTCAAAATTCTAAAAGATACTTTCAACTTCTGTATTGTCCATTGCATATATTACATGAAAGAGTAGAATAAAGACATTTTCAGACATGCAAAGGCTCAGATAATTTACTTCTGTGGCACCTTTTCCTGCAAACCTATTGGAAGAGAAAGACATGGGATCTGGAAGTGCTGGCCTGACCTCGGAGAGCTATAAACCAAAGTTATCGGATCTCAGCCTTGCAATAGGTTTATTAACCCAAACTGTTCATGCTAGATGGAGAGGGCATAAAGCAGTAGGAACCAGGTCTTCATGAAAAAAGAGGGCTTGATAGAATATTTGATGAAAGGCAGTTAGAGGATAAATTAGATGCAGATAACAGAGCTTATGGGATATTTACAAGGCATTCAGTGCATAGATATAGCCAATTGGGCACTCAGGAAAGAAACTGGGGGCTTGAGGAGTAGTGATAAAAGGAAAAAAACATATAATATGATTTGACTATGAAGTAAACATGAATAGATTCATATAATATAAACACTAATTACTGATTAAATGAAAAACAGTGATATGAATATAGAAAGAGTTGGAGTGTGAGAAAGTAAGGATTTTACACCTATATCTATTATAACAGGAAGTTAAGAGATAATGTTTAAAGTTATAAATTATTACATACTTGTATTTATAATATCAGAGAAAATCAGTTAATAGTGTCTGCTTCTGGAGGGCTTTAGCCTTGGGAGAGGTGAGGCAGTGGTTGCTGACTTTCATCTACACTCTATACACTATTTGATTTTTTTAAAAAATGTATATATTACTTTGATAATAATAAAAAATCAAATTAAGAAAATATGCTTAGATCAAAATCTTTAATCTTTATGTATCTATTGAATACTTCTTTTCTGCCTAAACAGACTCAATCCTAAGTAAAAAGAAGAAAGCCGGAGGCACCATATTACCTGACTTCAAACTATACTATAAGGCTACAGTAATGAAAATAGCATGGTACTGATATAACACAAACACACAGAGTGATGGAACAGAATAGAAAACTTAGAAATAGAACCACACACGTACAACCATTCAATCTTTGACAAAGCCAGCAAAAACAAGCAATGAGGAAAGCACTCCCTATTCAATAAATGGTACTGGGATAACTGGCTAACCAGATGCAGAAGAATGAAACTAGATCCTTACCTTTTACCATATACAAAAATTGACTGAAGATGAATTGAAGATTTAAATATAAGGCCTCAAGCTATAGAAATCCTAGAAGAAAACCTAAGAAATACCCTTCTTGAAATTGGCCCTGGCAAGAAATTTTTGGCTAAGTCCTCAAAAGCAATTGTAACAAAAAACAAAAATTGACAGATGGGATCTAATTAAACTAAAGAGCTTCTGCACAATAAAAGAAATAATCAGCAGAGTAAAGAGACAACCTACAGAATGAGAGAAAATATTCACTAACTATGCATCTGGCAAAGGTCTAATATCCAGAATCTACAAGGAACTTAAATCAACAAGCAAAACCCAAATAATCCCATTAAAAATTGGGCAAAGGACATGAACAGACACTTTTCAAAGAAAGACACAGAAGCAGCCAACAAACATATAAAAAAATGCTCATGATCACTAATCATCAGAGAAATACAAATCAAAACATAATGAGATACCAGTCAGAATGGCTATTATTAAAAAGTCAAAAAACAAAGATGCTAGTGAGAGTGTGAAGAAAAGGGAACATTAATACATTGTTGGGAATGTAAAATAGTTCGGCCACTGTGGAAAGCAGTTTGGAGATTTCTCAAAGAACTTACCACAGAGTGCCATTGGACCCAGCAATCCTATTGCTGGGTATATTCCCAAAGGAAGGTAGATCATTAGAGCAAAAAATACATGCATTTATATGTTCATCACCACGCTATTCACAATAGCAAAAAGGCAACCTAGGTGCCTGTTAATGGTGGATTGGATAAGGAAAATGTGATCTATGCAGCCATAAAAAAGAATAAAATCATGTCTTTTGCAGAAACATGGATAGAGATGGAGGCTATAATCCTAAACAAATTAACACATAAACAAAAAACCAAAATAGCTCATGTTCTCACTTACAAATGGGAGCTAAACATGGAGCATGCATGGACATAAACATGGGAATAATGGACACTGTGAACTGCTGAGGGGGAGGGAGGGAGGGTGCATGGGTTGAAAAACTACCTGAGTACTGTGCTCACTACATAGTACAACACACCTATGTAACAAACCTGCACACATGTCTCCTGTAACTAAAATAAAATTTGAAATTAAAATAAATAAATAAAAATAAACTATATGAGAGGATTGCATAGGTAATATGCAAATACTATGCCATTTTATATAAGAAATGTGAGCATCCATGGATTTTTGGATGGGGGAGTGGGAGGGATGCAGTGGAGAGTCTCACAACCAATACCTCATGGATACTGAGAGATGACTGTATTTTTAGTGATTCTAATGCAAACATATTTTGAAGTCTTCTTTCAGCCCAACCTCTCCCCTTGGTCTCCATGACATTATCTTTTTCTAGATCTTTCTATTCCCTAAATATATTTTGCAGTTCCTATTTATCGGCCGAATCCTGAGGTGGTGATAAGTCACCACTCCTCAATTCTCATTTTACATATTCTCCCTAGGTAATTCATTTTACACATTTTCCCTGGATGAATCTCAAATCCATATCTTGAGTGAAGACCCCTACCCTGAGCTACAGATTATTATTTTCAATTGCCAAAAGGGTATCTTTACTTTTGTTCTTGTATTGGTCCTTCCACCTCAAAATACCCAGAATAAAAAAATCATAATCTCCATCTGTTCCTCTCCCTTCCTTTCCTAAGCAGAAAAAGAACCATTCTATCTCTTTTCTTGCTCGATAAATTCAATTGGTGATCAAGTTCCTATGGATTCCATATTTGAATCAATATTTTAGTATGTATCTTCCTTCTGTCCCCACTGCACCATCCATGTAACAGACTTTTCATTGCTGCAGTCTAGCTCAGCTTGTTGGCCTAAGCTAGTTCTCTCTCTTGCAGTGCATCCATTATGAGGTGTCTTTAGAAATAAAGATACAAACATTCGTTCAACTGCTTATAGTTGTATGTAGTTCACAGAATAATGTTTAGTTTCCACTACGAGACACAGAAAGTCTTTCAAAACTTGCCTGCTGCCTCTTTCATTACCCCAAACTTAGTTGCTTCTTTGGTGTGCTGTACTACTTGCTACTTCCAAACATACCAAACACTTTCACGTTCCCGTGCCTTTGGCCCCAAATCCTTTTTATTCCCTTTTTCTCAGGGCATCAATAGACTGGGATTCCAATCCCAGCTTTGCTTTTCATGAATTGTGTATTTTGAAAAAGATAATTAACATCTCAGTCCATTTCCTACGTTGCCTGTAAAATTGCTTTCTCCCAGTCATAATGAGCATTCAATGGAGAATACACTGAGTTTAGCATTGCTCCTGAAAATAACTGCTTGCCTTGAATATTTATTTATTTTGTAAATGTACATGCATATACTTTTAAGATTCATTCACATCATAAAATAAGCCCTGCAATCATTCACATCGGCTAGAATCATGTTCTACCATGTACTAGCTTCGGATTCTTGGCCAAACCACTTTACCTCTCTGAGTTCCCATTTCTTTATTTTATAAATCATGTCTATTACAAGAATTCAATTAGATAATAAATGTGAAGCAGGAGTTCCATAAATGGAAACTATTGTGATTATTAATGTGCCTTCTGCCATATATCTTACTAGGACTTGATTTTCTTTTTCTTTTTTTGAGACAAAGTCTCACTCTTGTTGCCCAGGCTGGAGTGCAGTGGTGCGATCTCAGCTCACTGCAATCTCCACCTTCCGGGTTCAAGCGATTCTCCTGCCTCAGCCTCCCGAGTAGCTGGGATTACAGGAGCCCGCCACCATGCCTGGCTAATTTTTGAACTTTTAGTTGAGACGGGGTTTTGCCATGTTGACCAGGCTGGTCTCAAACGCCTGACCTCAGGTGATCTGCCCGCCTCAGCCTCCCAAAGTGCTAGGATTACAGGCATGAGCCACTGCACCTGGCCAGGACTCGATTTTCAAACTCCTTGAGAACAAGGGCTCTTGCATTTGTCTTTGTGTCCCCAGCTTCATGCTTGATAAATAGCTTTTTGTATATTCATAAACATCAAACAGAAATTAATGCCTATTTTATAATTTGTCATCGAATTTCCACTGAATTTTCTTCTATGTGGCTTAATATGAAAACTAAAAATTATTTAATACATTCATATTTAGTAGAATCATGACTGATACTATCTCCCTTTTTCCATTTTATGTTTTAATTTATTATTATTTTAAAAAATGCATCACTAATTAAAGGTTAAATTGCCCAAGTCTTGGAAATTGAAGAATATAATAGGAAATCTTTTCTTTTTCAATTTTTAATTTTTGTGGGTACATAGTAGGTGTATACATTTATGGGTTACATGAGATATTTTGATACAGGCATGCAATGTGTATCAATTACATCAGGGTAAATGGAGTATCCATCACCTCAAGCATTTATCCTTTGTGTTACAAACAATCCAAATCTTTTAGTTATTTTTAATTATAATCTTTTTGTTATTTTTAAACGTATAATTAAATTTTTGACTATAGTTACCCTTTTGTACCAGCAAATACTGGGTCTTATTCATTCATTCCAACTATATTTTGTAATCTTTAACCATTCCCACTTGCCCTCAATCCTCCCTGACCCTTCCCAGCCTCTGGTAACCATCCTTCTACTCCCTATCTGCTTGAGTTCATTTGTTGTAATTTTTAGCTCCCACAAATAAGTGAGAACATGTGATGTTTGTATTTCACTTAACATAATGACTTCCAGTTCCATCCATGTTGTTGCAAATGACCGGATCTCATTCTTCTTTTTTTCTTTTAATGGCTAAATAATACTCCATTGTGTATATGTATCCCATTTTCTTTATCCATTCACCTGTTAATGGACACTTAGGTTGCTTCCAAACCTCGGCTATTGTGAATATTACTGCAATAAATTGTCGATATAGTGATTTCTTTTTAGTGGGTATACATCTAGGAGCAGGAATGCTAGATTGTATGGTAGCTCTATTTTTTTGAGGAAATGTTTTATATTTTAAAACAAAGGGCTGGAATTGGGATACTTTCCTCGATCAGACAAAATAGCAATACTTCAAAAGTAAAAAGTTGGAAGCTAAATGAGACTGTTTCCAGAACATTCACTAAAGGTGTAGCAGACTAGGGAAAATCCTCCTTTATTTCTTATTGCCTTAAATATCAAGAAAAGCACTAAAGGATAGAAGCCATGCCACAGCAGGTGTTGTGCGGGGTGGGGGGCGGGGTGTGGGGAGAGCCCAGGGAGGAAGGAGGTTTAAAATAATTCCTTGCCTTGGTGATGCTGGAGAGAGAGAGAGAGAGAGAGAGTGTGTGTGTGTGTGTGTTGTTACCTGTGTGTATCTCTCTGTGGCAGTGTGTAGGGGGTTCAACTTTTCTCAGTTCCTGCTTCTTCAAGCCTAGAGTTAAATTCTTCATGGCAATGGGAGAGAGTCATTTTTAATATTGGGACCAATTTAATATTGTGAACATAGAAACCATGACGCAAATAGGAAAAAGTTGAAAGAAATTAGATTTAATTGTTAATTAGGTTCCATTGAGTAAGAAGAACACTGTAACAGAAAGTCCTTAAAATCAGAAAATGCTTAGTTCTTAGAACATGGCAGACCTTTAATAATTCCTGAATTTGTAATCACTCAATTAGATTGAGATTTATCTGCAGTCATCCGTGGAAGAGGAGAAAAGTTTCATGCTTAAACAATTACTATAGAAACAATGTAGCAGGGAATAGGTTTTAATATATCTAAACAATAAGTACCAATAGCTATTATGCTAAAATATTATTTTAAAATTTATAATAGTTAATACAGGATAAAGTCTTAAACTTTTAAAATACTTTTGAAGTATATTAAACAAAAAACTAAACATTTAAATTTTTAGCATTGGGAGGTTTTCCAGAGGGTAATTAATCCAATATAGCCAGTAAGATATTCCAGTTTAATCAGCTCTCATTGCTCAACCACATGCACATATTATAATTTTTTCATAAAACATAAAAGTAGTCTGGTGTAGAAGCATACTGACACTCACTGTCTTTGGTATACTGTACCTGTGTTTTCCTTAAACAGGATGTCTGCTCTGCAGCTCTACAGTGGAAAGACTGTGACTTAGAAGCAGAATACTTAAGTGCAAGTTCACTTTTGAACCTCAAATTATCCTATGACCCTGAGCAAGCCACTGTATTTCTGTTGCCTTATCAGCAAATAAGAAAATGCCCACCTTAACATCCTCAGGAGGTGCTTGCGAGGATTAAATAGAATACAGTATGAGCAAGGCCTTTTGGAAAAACCGAAAAACACAACATCTATCTAAAGCATACTAAAATGTTCAGTAAAAGAGCTAAGCCTCTCTTGGACCACAGGCTGCCTGACTGCTTCTCCAGAGACAAATAAGGTGAACGGTTTCTTATATTTTCTTCCAGAAGCATTCTCAATATGCGGGTGTGCTTTTACTCAAACAGGCATGCTGGATAAGCATGGTAGTGGGTCTCGTTACTGCCTTCACTTAGTCACATATCCTAGAGCTCCATCCTCATCGGCACATAGAGTTATGCCTCTTTCTTTTGTAAAATCAGCTTCATGGTATTTCATAGTATTCTATTCCAGGGTTTTGCTAATTCTTTAAGCAGTCCCCACTCATGGATATTTTAGAATTCTTAACAGTGTTTTGCTGGCTGGGCGCAGTGGCTCAAGCCTGTAATCCCAGCACTTTGGGAGGCCAAGGCAGGTGGATCACTAGAGGTCAGGAGATTGAGACCAGCCTGGCCAATATGGTGGAACCCCATCTCTACTAAAAATACAAAAATTAACCACGCATGGTGGCAGGTGGCTGTAAACCCAGCCACTTGGAAGGCTGAGGCAGGAGAATTGCTTGAATCCAGGAGACAGAAGCTGCAGTGAACTGAGATTGTGCCACTACACTCCAGTCTGGGCGACAGAATAAGACTCTGTCTCAGAAAAGGAAAAAAAAAAGGCTTTTGCTTCCACAAATTGTGATCCCATCACTATCTCTCTGTATAAGTCTAGTCTTTGGTAGCACTGATTTTTTTAAACACCAAGAAAACTTAAACACTATTATTATTTCCTTTGTTGAATTCTGTATAAGGCTGGCATATCTTAGACTCTAGGCACAAAGTTTTAATGTTAAATGTATGCGTTTAATAAGATCATTTCTATTAGAACACAGAACTGCAACAGGACCTTCAAGACAGCGTTGTACTTTCATATGCAAGAATAAAGAATCAAAAAGCAAGGTATCCCTCAGTCGTCACGTTTTAAAAAAACAATAACAACAAACACCTGCAGAGGGCTCTCTAGTTCATTAGACATCTCACAAACATTATCTTTTTAGTGTCCCCCATTTAGTGCTTAATAGCATCACAAATTCATAAAATCTTAGAACTAGAAGGGACCTTAAAGTTTTGCTATTTTAATCACTTTTTTCCAAATACAAATAATGGCTGAGACTATTTTCAATATCAAAAAGAGTAGATCAAAGAGAATATCAACAAGTTGGATCAAAGGGATAACACATTTTACAATAAGCTTACGTAACAGGAAGTTATGAACAAAACAGCAATGTTGTCAGTAAGCAGGCAGAATAAATGGAGCCAATGGATCTGAACCCTGGACCAACCTGTAGGAGCTGGTGAGCTCGTAATCTAGAATCGCTTTTGTTGTTATCACACCACTCAGTGCATCAATCTGGAATGCTTCTTCTTGGTTGCCAGACAGAATAGAATACTCAATCAGGCCGTTCAAACCACTGTCCAAGTCGGTAGCAAAAACCTGTGAGGAACCGACTGTTTCATTAGATAAGATTTATTCTGCAATATGGGTTCAGTCTGTTTTTCAGAGACATGCATTAAGAAAGAATCACAGCTTGTCAAACATATTTTAAAAACAACGATGAAATGAAATACCAACAGACAACTGAAGCTTACATTTAACTTTATGATAAACTGAGTGATGGGGGAAATTCTTCATCCAAAGAATTTTCAAATAGCTCTCAGTAGACATGGTACATGTTTTTGAGGTATAATTTTGTGCAATGAGAAGAAATATTTTTAAAAACATCTAAGTTGCTTGAATAGGAGAGTTCCAATAGTGTATATGAATTCATGCTAGCACAAGTAAAGGGAAAAAATGTTATGGGAAATCTCCACATAGTGATAATTTTTTTTTCATTTGCTCTGTTTTTCTGCTTAAAGAATTACCTATAAAATTGGCTAGGTGTGAATTTTTTTATATTGTATTTAAAGTTTTATTTTATTTTATTTTTGAGATAGAGTCTGGCACTGTCACCCAGGGTGGAGTGCAGTGATGTGATTCATGGTTCACTGCAGCCTCAGCCTGCTGGGCTTAAGTGATCCTCCCACTTTAGCCTCCCAAGTAGCATGCGCCACCATGCCCAGCTAATTTTTGTATTTTTTTGTAGAGATGGGGTTTTCCCATTTTGCCCAGGCTGGTCTTGAACTCCTGGGCTCAAGCGATCCACCTGCATCAGCCTCCCAAAGTGCTGGGATAACAGGTGTGAGCCACTGTGGCTGGCCCTAAAGTTTCATTTTAAAGGGATCATTAAACAAGTGAAACAAAACCTAGATTTAGTGCTAAGAAGTGTAGATCCTAATCATGTATTTGATGAGTTATCAAAGTTGTGTTGAGGATAAAACAGAAGTTTTACATCATTCTCCATCATTTTGCAATAAACTTTAATCACTAAACCAATTATGTTAGTGGATTTGGTATCTTGATTAAGAACAAGTTGACAAATTAATTAATTACTTTTTACTTGTTTATATCTTCTATGCCCCTGAGCCTTAGTCTTAGCTCCTGTCCCCTGTCATCTCTCTCCTGGGCTACTATACTGATGAATGTCCTAGTGGGTTTTCATTCTAATTTCCTACCATCTCAATTTATCCTTCACTTTGCTGCCAGAGTTCTCAGGGGACCCTGAGTGACCCAGGTGCAGTATCCAGGAGCTCATCAGACAGGGGACAGCTCTTGGGACCGAAAGGCTGCAATATGCAGTTTCCTTTGGGATCACCAAGAAAAGAAACCAGTCTGCATCAAAGTCCACTATATCCCTTGGAGCCATACATTTAAAAGTGCTACAGAAGCACTTTGGGAGGCCAAGGCGGGTGGATTACGAGGTTAAGAGATCAAGACCATCCTGGCCAACATGGTGAAACCCCATCTCCACTAAAAATACAAAAATTAGCTGGGCGTGGTGGCATACGCCCATAGTCCCAGCTACTCAGGAGGCTGAGGCAGGAGAATTGCTTGTACCTGGGAGGCGGAGGTTGCAGTGAGCCGAGATCACGCCCCCACACTCCAGCCTGGCGACAGAGCGAGACTTCGTCTCAAAAAAAAAAGTGCTACAGAGAGTATCTCTGGGTGGTCTATCAGCTATGGTTCTAGGGTACCGGCACATCTTAACTAGTGCTAACCCAACCGGGGAGAGATGTATCAGAAAGACAGTGCCCAGTGAATACAAGAGCCTGAGTGGCTCTAGGGAATGTAAAGCACAGCTTCTTTGAGTTGTTGTCATCAAGATGAATTGGCTGTAATTTGTCTCTGTCTTGGTGTCCCTTCACCGAAGATTCAAATTTCAGGGAGAGAAAGTCTGTGTGACTGAGAGAAGCAAGGCAGTTCACCACACCTTTGGCGGGATGGGAGTGGGAGGCAGGTCAATATCTTGATGACAACACCCCCAGGACTGCATCAACAGAGGGTCAGACCCTCAAAGGAGTTTGTGGGGCTGTAACCAAAGGAGGGCATTGAGCAATGTGGGGTCAAAAACCAGGAAGCAACCACCACAATTGGTATGAGCTCCAGAGCCTCCTTCATTTCTAATTTTCTGAACAGGACACAGCAGAATGGTAGTGCTAGCTTCCTGGGAACTCAATGATTGGAAAATGGAAAGAACAAAGTTCATTCTATCTGTCCCTGACTCAGCCTTCTACAAGTCTGCCATAATTTGAAGGGCTGGTGGGTCAGGCTCTCTCTCATTCAGTGCACCTGGGCTTTATATGGGTCTTTGCCTTCACTTATTTCACACTGAGCAATTTAGCTCCATCCCAGTTAGCATTTGGGACAGAGAAGTGAAACGATGCAGGGCCCCAGTGTGGGGATCCTCTTGTGACAAGGTGGCAATGGAGGCATCTGCCATCCCCACTGATCAGCCTCACTGGGCAGGGATGATAAAGACTGGAAAAGTGAATGTTCTTTCTTCTGAAACATCTCAGTCATGGCTGAAACCAGGGTAAAGACACAGCACATCTGGAACAGGCTGGTGACTAGAGCAATCAGGCTGCTATAAAACAAAATACACCTGCAGTCATAGCCTAGGGGATCCCAGATATCCTGGACGGGGTGTAGGGGCACAGAGCTAAAACTCCAAGGCAGCTGAGACTCTATTGGTCTTGTTTTCACCAACAGCATGGATATGTGCTTCAGAAACTGGAATTGCAGTAAAAGAAAGGCTTTTTTTTTTTTTTTTTTTTTTTTTGTGAGATTGAGTTTTGCTCTTATTGCCCAGGCTGGAGTGCAATGGCATGATCTCAGCTCACTGTAACCTCTGCCTTCCAGGTTCAAGCAATTCTCCTGCCTCAGCCTCCCAAGTAGCTGGGACTACAGGTGCCCACCACCACACCAGGCTAGTTTTATATTTTTAGTAGAGATGGGGTTTCACCATGTTGGTCAGACTAGTCTCGAACTCCTGACCTCAGGTGATCCACCTGCCTTGGCCTCCCAAAGTGCTGGGATTACAGTTGTGAGCCACTGTGGGGTCTTTTTATATAATGAGGTGAAGGTGTCTGCACAGTAAAGAACTGTTGCAGGTTTTGTCCAGAAAATATGCTAGCATGCCATGTAAACGCCTTACCCCACCTAGCCCAGAGAAAAAGGGGTGTAATAAGCATGAAGTGCTGACCACAGCCATGACATTCCAGGGGCCAAAAGGAATGACCCTCCCTGTGGCTAACTTTGCCTGGAAGTTGGATTTATACTGATTTCCTTTCCAAAGTCACGGGAGGTTAGAGATCTCCTAATGCCCAGCTTCCTGACTACAAAAACTCAATTCAATAGTGGAGGGAAAGATGAAACAAGCACTTGTCCTGAGGCAGGTGGAGAAAGTATCAAGGATGGGTGGGTTTTACAGCATGAACAAAACTTCCCTGTGAATGGATGCTTCTCCAGGACTTGGGGCCTTTTACTGAGATGGGGCTAGTCCTGAAAGCAGATCCGTCCACATGCCTGTTCACCTTGAAGACTTAGTGTAAATATCCTTATTCTATGAAGTCTTACACTCCTCCTTCAGGAGGAGGCTGTGTCTCCTCTTTTCACTCATTACACTAAATGCATACTTCTATTGTATTAATAAATGCATACTTCTAGTGCTCAACAGTACTCCTAGAGAAAGCAGATGTCAGTAATTGAGCACTGAATAAATAAAGAGGAAGAGACAGTGCAAGAATTTCAGATTTTCTTTAACCTAAGGTTTCATCCCATCTATAAAATGTACATGGCCTGGAAAGAGTGTTGTACTACAGGGATTAGAAATTTTTATGTACATTGACTTGTAATAATTCTCTCTCTCTCTCTCACACAGACACACCCACACACACACACACACACACACACACAAATATATTTCTGTTACCTGTATGACATGAGCATTGTAGAGTTGGCTTTCAGACACTGATGCCTGGTAAATGCTTTGTTCAAAGCATGGTGAATTATCATTCTCATCCTGTATCAAGACTGCTACTTTGCAATAGGCTCTATGCCCACTACTTTCAGCTAAAACGATGAGTTGAACCTCATTTCTGACTTCAAAATCAAGAAACTTGGGTTCTTTCACAGTGAGTTGTCCTATTTTTATTTCCAAGGAGAAAAAAAAGAAAATGATGTTGTAGTTATTCTTTTATTTTTTATTTTATTTATTTATTTAGTTTTGAGACAGAGTCTCGCACTGTCGCCCAGGCTGGAGTGCAGTGGTGAAATCTCGGCTCACTGCAACCTACGCCTCCCGGGTTCAAGCGATTCTCCTGCCTCAGCCTCCTGAGTAGTTGGAGTTACAGGAACCCGCCACCATGCCCAGCCAATTTTTTGTATTTTTAGTAGAGACGGGTTTTCACCATGTTGGCCAGTCTGGTCTCGAACTCCTGACCTCGTGATTCACCTGCCTTGGCCTCTGAAAGTGCTCGGATTATAGGCGTGAGCCACAGCACCTGGCCATAGTTATTCTTAAAATGACTCAAAGCATCTTTGCCTCATGTGCTCACAGCTCACCTGTCCCGCAAAAGCCTCCCATTGCCGGGCCTCCTTTCCCCACCGACCCGGGTCATTGTGAAAAGATTTGGGATCTTGCAGATGTTTGCAGGTTCAAATATGTAGAGAGAAAGAAACTATGAAATACCAAGACCTGGGAGCTATCTCTCTCCATATTTACCCCCTGGCCATGTCTGGAAAGTCTATCTTTCAAATTTAGCTTCACTCCAGCCCCATTACTGCTGCCTTCCTTCAAGCCACCAGCACTTCCCACCTTGTCCCCTGCATTAGCCACAAAATTGGTCTCTCCCTAATCCAGTTTTCATTCTGAATTTAATAAAAAAAAAGATGCTGTCATTGTTCTGCATGAAACCCTTCCATGATCATAATATGCATCTGCTTCTTGAATGCTTATTAAAGAGTCATCACGCATGCGGTTCCATCAGCCTGGAATGGCTCACACAGCGATTCTTCCTCAGGGATTTTTCCAGATCACCATCCCTGTACCATCACCTCCCCAAAGTCTCTTACAAAGCCTCTGCATTTCCCAGCAGCTGCATCATCGCTTTGTTCACCTTCATCTGTTTTTTGTCCTATTATTCCTCTTGTTTATAAGCTCCATACACCATCTCTTACGTACCATCATATCTCCAGTGTCTGGCTCAGGGTCTGGCCTCCAGAAGGCACACAGTAATACTTTTATGCCCTCATATAAAAGGCAGATCCAGGTTAGGGAAGCAGATTTTTGAGGGTGATGCCATACTCTAGTTTCCCCCACCCCCAGCAAATTAAGAAACTTACTCCTTTAACATAATTTCCTTGTCTAGATTTTACTGTTTTTTCCTCCACTTTACAATAAAATTTCCGACTCAATGTATTATTTTTATTTACTTGGCTTTCACTGTCAGCAAGTCCATCAAATAGAGAGTTTCTGAATGAACACTAATTTGGAGTTAGAGAAACCTGAAACCAGGCATAAATCCGAGGCCTAGAAATTTAATTTAGGTCAATTACCTGGCTCCACCACCTCCTAACTTTGTGACCTGGATAAGTTATGCGGTTGACATAAAGCTGAGTCTCCTTTTCTATATAAAATGGGATGTTAACAATGACTTCAAAGAGTGGCTGTGAGGAGCAAGTGACATAACGCATATTTGGAATGTCTCTTTGTAGTAACATGTAGATTCCACGATGTGTTACTCGTGTTTGTCTGCCCCTCATCATCACATATGGATTTAATATCTCTGTGAACTCTGAATTTAGAAAGAGAACATTTAATAGCCATCAACTACTAGAAGTTCGATCCTCTGGTGAAAGAATCTGTACTGGAACTATGTTCCGTAACTATGGCCTGGGAGCTGCAGTTTTTATTGCTCTATCTGAATCAGCTTCCCCAGATAACCTAGTCCAAGAAGCTTTAGGTCATCTGGCACCTACTTGAATTCTAGTGGGAGGCATATCCTGTTCAAATATTCTGTCTTTGTTATTGGGTGTTTTGGGGGAGATTTTGTAGCTTATATTCTGTTAGGAAAAAAAAACAATATATATTAACTCACTATACTACCAAATTTAAAATTTCATAAACTCAGTATCATTTTTTGATATCAAATTTAGTTATCAATTTAGTACTAGAACCAAATTACTTCACAAACCATAGTCTGTTGTGACCAACACCCCTGGCAGAAAATTTAGAGTAGCTCTAACTTTGGGCAGCTGGAGAATAATTAAGATGCTTTTTGATATGCTGGTGATGAAACTAGGTGGTCTTCAGAAACCTCCCTGAAACAAAGGCTGATTCCCACACCCCGAAATGTCACCAGAGCCCGAGTCTGAGGTGGGTCCACAGCTCTCACCCAGATCTCTTGTCTCCACCAAAAAGAGCACTTGCCTGGCTATCATGTTCTGTTACTGTTTGTAAAGGAAAAATAGAATAGAAATGCAACACTAAATTGCCCGTGTCACTGAGTAGAAAGTGTGCCAATTATAGTGCAGATCAAAGTTGATTTTTAATAAAAGGCTTGTGTTTAGGCTTTGATAATTGGAATTTTGCACTTGGAATGGATCGACGGTTCTAATGCTTTCCTTGCATGGTTTTTATTTTTGGGGTAATAACTGGCATATGCTGTGAAAGTCGTGCAAGTAGAAAAGACAATAACCAGTCTGTGGGATGATTCAAGGCTGCTAGATCCACATTTTTCCTTGGATAATACATGGGTAGTTTTCACAAAGACATCAAGCGTGTACTGTCATCAGTGAGAGGAAAGTACTACTGGACTCTGTCTAATGGTATACGCAGAAACTAACACCTTCCTTAGAGTAAGAAGCCTCACAAATACTAACTTCATGTTCTTGCTTATATGTTAATGTGCCAGTTATGGAATAACTTGAGAAAAAAATGGTAGTAACATTTTCTTCTAAAAAATACATACATTATGTAGCTTTTGACAAAGTTATGAAATACACATCCAAATGAGATTAAGATTCATCAAATGCTACATGCTTGATAACATAATCAGGTTACTTCCATCAATTATATACTGTGTACATGCATTTGTACAAACCAAAGCAGAATGTGATAAATATTTATGTTATTCAGTAGCTTTCAAACCGTCTCCTACTTAAACAATGTCTTTGAAACATTGAAAGTTTGATCAGTTTTGTTTTGCGCCACTCTAATAAATACTAAAATGAATGCTGCCATCTGTTATTTACATACAAAACCTTAGTCAAGCTCTAAAATTGCTGCTGATTTAGACAGTGAGAAATACATGTTTTTACACTAAAGTGGCATGAAGTTTAAATACAGAGTCAACTTGGTTTGTGACGATGGAACAGAGGGTAAACTGGCACAAATTGACAGAAAACAGAGTTCTCATCAGAGATCTGTCTAATGACAACTTATTAAACTAATTACTAATAAAATGGTTTTCTCACACTTTTATTCTTAAGTTACTATAATCTTAGAGATAAATATTATTGATTTATTATACATATCAGTCTCACATTTTAAGTGGTGTATGTTTAAAATACATACATTCAGAAAACCTATACAATTAGATACAATTTTAATGATAATTTGTCAAAGGTAGCATAAAAGATGCATTTAATATCATAATTAAAGTTTTAAAAAAGCTTTCTTGACAGCAATATGTTAAACTATATACTTGACCAATCTTCATGATAAAAACAACTAAAATGCATGATAAATTATATATATAATACATATATATGCATAGACATATATGTGTATGTATTACAATGCATTATTGAGTTGGTACAGTTGTAAGAATTCTACAGAGGACAAAACAGAAATGAAGACAGAAATCCTGAGAGGTTAGTAAGTACTAACAGCTCATTTTTGTTCCAAAGATTTCTACCACAACCTTTTATCTTACTATTCATTTCTGATAGTTGCATGGAGTGTGGAAAATAAGGTGAGAACCCACAAAAGGTGAAGGGGCTAATAGGAAAAACTAGCATAAAGCTGGAAACCTAAAGGCTGCATATATTCCAAATCAGTGGCCATTATTGAAAAAAAAAAAAAAAAGAAAACTGAAACTGAAGCAGAATTAGCAATGTGGACATAACTGAAATTTGCTGAAGTGTTTCAAATTGTGTAGATATTAAAGAACAAACTCATGAATACAATCCACAGATGGAATGCAGCATCAAAGTCACCCATATGATCACAGAAGGATTACAATCTGCAGCAACGGTGATGAGTTAGAAAGAAAGAGACTACAACTTCTAATTACAATGTTCTTCCAAAAGGTTTTGGCCAAAAAACCACCAGAAGCTTGACTTTTTTTTTTAACCTTGGTGTTGATTGAAAGGGAGAAAAAAAATCTTCCGTATTAGTTTAAGCCTGAATTTATGGTAGCTATACTATCATAGTTATACATATTTAAAACTCTTAGGAATTAAACTTAAACTGGCTTCTCCCTGATGATTCTCCAGGTGAATTGCAGAAAAGGAAGCAAATCCTCTTTTAAGGGCATAAATTCAACTGAGGCTTCAGAGAATCGTCAAAGAGCTTTCAAGGATAATGAGTAGCTCATAGTCTACAAGCACTAAAGTCATAGAGAAGCAAGGCACCATAAATGACAGCAAGCAAACCCATAGACAACAGAACCAAACATCAAAGGCTTCAGATGCAGGAATTGTTGGACACAGAATTATTATATATGTTTAAATACATTAAAAACCCTTGGAAATATGAGCAAGGAACAAGAGGCTATTTTTCAAAAGACAAAGAGTTGAAAAAAATTCAACAGAACTACTGGAAATGAAAAATACAGTTCCTCAGAATGAAGAGAAAGACAGATGAAAAATATAAAAAAGAGATGTAGCAGAGAGTCACATAGCCCAACATTTGTCTAATTGGAGTTCCAAGAAAAGATACAAATGAATGGCGTTTAGATCAACAGCTAGCTTCTTAATGCGACAATGGGATGCCAGAAGCCAGTAGAATAATATCTTAATATGATGAGATAAAATAACTGTGAATCTAGAATTACAAGACCAGCAAAAGTATTTTAAAAGCATGGATTAAATAAGTACATTTTTAACTACCTAAATCTGAGAGAGCTTACTATACAAACCCTCACTAAAGGAGATAGTTCAAGCAGAAAAAAATAATACTAGAAGAAAGGCTGAGATGTAAGAAAGAATGGTTAGCAGAGACATCAACAAGGATGCAGCTAAATCAACTGAAAAATACTAATAATGCCTAATTTGAAAGAACCAAAATTGTGGTCACAAAAGCATGTAAATTGATATAGGAGCACTTCGAGATCAGTAATTGCAAATCTCTTGTATTACTCAGGAAGAGAATATTGATTAATGTTGGACTTTATATATGTTAAAGTAACGAGGCTAGCCACCGAAATAAGAAAAATAACTATATAACTTCAGACAGGGGAAAGTGGTCATTTTCAGATATGATTTTATGTGTCAAATATACAGAAAAATGTCAGTCTCTAGTTTGCAAATTTGCCAGACAAAAAATCAAAAGACAAAAATCAGTTTCAAATACATACACCAGCACCGTCAGGAAAAGCATTTTTTTTCATTTACCGTAGTGAGAAAAAGCATAATGTACTTAGGAGAAATCTAACAAGAGACATACAAGCCTGTACATTTCATTCTTTGCTATTTCTCTTTAACATGTAATGGTTTATGCACTGTAAGTCATAGTAAAAATGTTGAGCAAAGGAATAAAGTCATAGAAGAGTACGTAGCATGATTCTATTATCATACTTAAGTCAAGGTAAAAGTAAATGACATATTGTTTAGAAATTCAAATGCAGTGGAAAAATTATAACCAAAAATGTCAGCGATCAGTTGGGTGCAGTGGCTCATGCCTATAATCCCAGAACTTCAGGAGGCCAAGGCAAGGAGATTGCTCGAGTTCAGGAGTTTGAGGCCAGCCTGGGCAACAAAGTGAGAACCTGTCTTTCTTTACGAGAAAAAAAGAAGCCAGTGATCAATACAAATTCAAGTTACTAATTATCTCTGGGACAAAAAAGAGAGACATAAAGTGATGTGTATGTTAATTGGCTCAATTTAGATATTCTGCAATGTACACATATTTCTGAACAACAAAAAAAAAAGAGAAAGGAAAAAAGAGATATAAAAAGGAAGGGGCACACAGAGGCTTTCAAAAATTCGAAAATTCTAGTACAGTAGTTCCCCCTTCCCTGTGGGGGATATATTCTGAGACCCCCCAGTGAATGTTTGAAACTGTGGATGGTACCAAACCCTATATATACTATGCTTTTTTCTATATATGCATACCTATGATGGAGTTTAATTTCTAAATTAGGCACAGTAAGAAATTAACAACGACTAATAAAATTGAACAATTATACTGTAGTAAAAGTTACGTGAATGTGGTCTCTCTTGCAAAATATCGTATTGTACTGTATTCATCCTTCTTCTTGTGATGATGTGAGATGACAAAATGCCCACATGATAAGGTAAAGTGAGGTAAATGACATGGGCACTGTGACATAGCAGTAGGCTACTACTGAATGTCTGATGGTATGTCAGGAGAAGGATCATCATCTGCTTCAAGTGGTCCTGGATCAACGAGCCACGATGATGTCGATGGTTGGATGTCAAGAGCAGATGATGTTGATGGTTGGGAGTACTTGAGAGTTGCAGGGGTTTTTTTTTTGTTGTTTGTTTGTTTGTTTGTTTTTCCAAAACCTTTTGGAAATCATTGTAATAAAAGCTTCGCCTGTAATCCCAGAACTTTGGGAGGGTGAAGCGGGTGGATCACGAGGACAGGAGATCGAGACCATCCTGGCTAACACAGTGAAACCCCGTCTCTAAAAAAATTACAAAAAATTACCTGGGTGTGGTGGCGCATGCCTGTAGTCCTAGCTACTTGGGAGGCTGATGCAGGAGAATCGCTTGAACCCAGGAGGTGGAGGTGGCAGAGAACCGAGATCATGCCACTGCACTTCAGCCTGGGCAACAGAGCAAGGCTCCGTCTCAAAAAAAAAAAAAAAAGAAAGCTTGTCAGTTTTTAATCAAAGTGTTGGTACAGAGGTTATAATCCTGTGATCATATGGGTGACTTCAATGCTGCACTTTATCTGAGGATTGTATTCTATAATTTTGTCTTTTCATATCTGTGTGATTGGAAACACTTGAGCAAATTTCAGTAATGTCTACATTGTTCGTTCTGCTTTAGTTTCTTCTTTGTCTTCCCTTTCTCTGTAGATGACTCAAAAATTTCTTCCTCATTTATTAACAATTCTCATTGGCCTTCAATATGTTCTTCTACTTCTTCATCAAGCATGTCGGCAAACCCTTCTCCACCAACTTGTCTTGCTGTGTGAATTATTTTCCTAACTTTTCCGTCAATCCCCAGGAAGCCATTAAAATCATTCATGACTTCACTCTAGAAGTTCTTCCAGCAGGCATTTACAGTTTCTGGTTTTAATTCATGCATGGCAGCTTTGATGAATGTTACTGCGACAGCAACAGTGAATGATTTCCAGCATTACATTACATCCAGATTATGATCTGCATCAATCAATTAGTGGCTGATCAAATACCAGGCAGGTGTGTGACCTTGATAACTCAAATACCAGGCAGGTGTGTGACCTTGATAAACCAAATGATGCCTGCTCAAGGGGCTGAAGCAATGAGGTTTTATTTGGAGGTAAAAATACAACCTCAACATTTTCATTTTCATAGCAAGATGGCCAGGTGCATTGTCTAATATTAACAGAACTTTGAATTCCAACCTTTCCTCATCCAAGTATTTTTTTTTTTAACTTCTGGAATGAAGCACTGGTGGAACCATTCCATAAACAAGATGTGTGTCACCCATGCTTTATTATTATGTTGCCAGAACATAGGCAGATAATTTTTTGTTTCAGAGAGCATGTGGGTTCTTCACTTTGTATACTACACTTGATTTTATCATATGTCCTGCAGTGTTGCCACATAGTACCAGAGTTCATCTGTCCCTCCATGTTTTATGCCCTGGTGCTTCCTTTGTACATCTATGAATGTAGGTTCCATTGGGCATCTTCTTCCCGAAGCCTAGCTTTACGGCAATTAGAGATTTGCTTTAGATGGTTTCCTTTCTCCTTATTCAACATCTTCAGAAATGCGGCAGCACCTTCTTTGTTGGCAGATGCAGCCTCTCCAGTAGTTTTTGTATTTTTCAGTCCAAACCTATTTCCAAATCTGTGTAACCATCTCTTACTTGCAGTAAATGGCTTAGGGTCACTCGTTTCAGGGGATTCCTTGCTGAAGCCTTCATAGAGGGCTCAATGCTTTCTGTTGCAACATGTTACTGTCAAATTGAACACGTTTTTCTATTCAAGTCTTCCACCCCCAAATTTAATGCCTTTTCCATTCTTAACTAAGCATTTGCCATGCCCTGTGGCCATGACTTTTGCATCGTGAGGTGCCATAGCAAAACTAGCACAAATTTTTTTTTCTTTCTTCACAATTTCACAAGTAGAATATTCATTCTTACTGTAGATCTTAGCAACCTCAGCATACAATCTTTTCTCTTTTCTTATTAAATTGAGAACTTTCACCTTTCACTTTCCCCCCCCCAAAAAAATAACGCTTTACCACTTCTCTTTGGCATATCTAAATTGCCAGAATCCAGAATACTACACTCGTGCTTTGGGGCCATTATTAAGTTACATAAGAGTGACATGAATATAAGTACTGCAATATGTGACAGTGAAACTGAGAATTGAGACAGCTACTGACTAATAGACAGGGAGCATGTACAGTGTGGAGACCCTGGACAAAAGGAGGATTTACTTCTGTGTGGGGCAGAGTAGGATAATGTGAGATTTCATCACACTACTCAGAATAGTGAGAAATTTAAAACATATGAATTGTTTATTTCTGGACCTTCCCATTTAACATTTTTGGGCCATGGTTGACCACAGGTAACTAAGCCTGGAGAAAAAGAAACTAAGGATAAGGGTGGGCTACCTTAATGTCTATTTCCAGAGATGGGTGGCATGTGTATGGGTTTTTATTTTACTATTGTCCATTAAACAGTCTTACATGTTTCAACATACCATCTGGCAGATATTTCACAATAAAATTTTAAAACTCAATGTAAATAAGTTATCTAATCAAAAAATAAAGATGTTCCTGTGAATGACCTCTTTGGACTAACCCTAGGAAGATTTTATCTGCATTTTAATGATGGACTGTAGAAGAAATAAGACCAGGTCTGGGCCATGTTAGGAGTGCGGTGGCGGAGGGTCTGGATAGCCTGGGAAAATATGCCAGCTATGCTACTCTTCTTCGTTCCTAAGCATTTTAATCTGGGCTGCTTTCCCAGAACCCTCAGACACCTGGACTGCAAGAAAATTAAGACTTGGTGATGTTCACAAACGATCCTTTCGTGAACAGGTTTCCTATACTACCCTTTAATGCAACAATGGGATGAAGAGATGAAGACTTCTAGCAGGCTACCTCAGAAAGGTTGCTGACCAAAGGCTGTATGGACCAAAAAGTCATAACACCACCCTGGATGAAAGGACATTTACCTAAGGAATTACCCGCTCTCAATTCTTCCCAGGTGCATGTAGTATAGATTAAATAAGGTGGTTGTATGGCAACAGAGACATTATTAGAAACATTCTTCTTGAAGTTTGACAACAAAGCAGTAGATGTGTATCTACTACAGAGTTGTTAGTGAAAAAAGGTATGTTTGAAGTAATCAATTGGTATTCATTTTAAACAGTAATGGTCTTACTGAAGCTAAGTTTAATACATGCTGTGTTTGGAAGTAATTTCTTTACCACTGTGTAGAAACCTTCACAGCTGTTCTTTTTTTGTTGTTGTGTTGTTGACATTCAGTAGCAAATTACAAGAATCTCTGATGAAAACTCCTTACAGCTAGATGTGTTCTTATTTTTGAATTCAGACTCAGTGTCAATGATCTCACTACTCTATCTCCAATTTTCCCAAATACATGGGTAAATTGTAAGTGGAAGCTAATTTATCTTCAAAAATTTGAAGGGCAGGATAGACACTGTCTAGTTTGGAAATATTAAGAATATAATTCTTAGTGAATATAAATAAATAGTTTTTGATTTCCCATAATTTTTCATAGGCTAGCTTAAAAAATTCTTTCTTGCTTACCTTTTAAATTACTTAGCTCTAACAATTTCTACTTTGCAAATTTTGCAGAAATAACATTAAATGGAGCAGAAAATAAAGCTAGTATAGGGTAGAGAAGGATTACCTGACTTAGAGCACAGGGAAAGAACTCCATCTTCATTTCCACTAAAAATTGAATATTTCATGCTGTCCTGAATTGAGTCAGGAGCAAAAGCTTTAACAGTCACAATAGAAGTACCTGTAAAAATTAGGTAAAAAAAGAACTCCATTAGGATAAAAAAATTTCATGGAAACACAAGAGAAAATACTGATTATTTATTATTTGCCTACTATGTTTTCACTTGTTCATTGATTCAACAATAACTTATTGTCTTCAATGAGCCAGATCCCATGCTAGGTGCTAGGGATATACTAGCAAACAAGATAGAAAAGATCTCTGTCCTCATGGTGGTTATTAACTTGTGTAAGGAGACAGACAATAAACCATTAAAACATACATAATCATAGAAAAGTTTCAATTGTGTCAGGCCCTTAGAAAGAGAGAAATAAGGTTACTTGATATAAGGTACTTCTTTTTCAGGGGAAGCACCAGACTTTAGAGAGGTCTGGGGACAGTGAAGGATGAGAAGCCATAGAAACAGCTGGAAGAAGAGGATTTTGGGAAAAAGAGCCACCACCACAAAGGCTGTGGGCTAGGAAAGGGCTTGGTTGGGTAAAGCACAATGAGTAGGGGAAGAAGAAGAAGGTGGAGATGGCAGGATAAGCAAAGGTCAGATTTTATTGTAAGTGCAAAGGGAAGTCATGGAAGCATTTTAAGGAGTAGAGTAAAATATGATTTGCTTTTTAAAAATATCATACTAAGTGCTGTGAGAACAGAGAAGAGAGGGGTAAGAATGGAGCAGAGAGGCCAATTAAGATAATACTGCAATAGTCCAAGCAGAAGACAATGACCTAGGACTGTGGGATGGGAGATGGAGAGACATGGACAGATTAAAGACATTTGACACACTGCCCCAAAACACTGGAGGTGGGAGTGGGAAAGGAGGCTATGAGAGCATAAAGAAAAGAAATATTCCCTCAACCAGCTTCCGATCTAGCTGTAGGAAAAAGCAACCCAACTAGAGAGTAACCAGCAACTTAACTGCAAGACATGAATTAATTCAAGATTTGTTCAGATAGAGCAGGGGCAAAGAGATAACTTTAAGGGAGAAACAGAAATTCAGTTAGGTATAGGAATTGGAAAGACAAAAGAGAAGGAAGTCATTTTAAGTTACGGGAACAGACTAAATACCAACATGAAAGAAGAATTAGCAAGGACTGATAGAGGCAAGAAGACAATCCTTGTAATTAGATCTAGAACCAAATAAGGCAGGAGTGGGGAATAAATTTAAATAGGAAGTATAAATACAGTGTGAAGAAGGGTAAGAGAGGTAGCAAGAGAATGGGAGAGCTTGAGAGCCAGGGAGATAAGTGTGGCTTTATGTCAAGAATCAGCTAATTTTTCTGTCAAGGGCCAGATATTAATTATTTTAGGCTTTACAAGTCACACAGTCCTGTTGCAAATACTCAAATCTGCTATTGTAGCATGAAAGTAGTCACAGACAATGCATAACCAAGGGAGTGTGGCTGTGTTTCAATAAAACTTTATTTACCAAAATAAGTGGATGAGCAGATCCTCGCTTTATGTGACAGGAAGCAATGAAGAAATGCAAAGTTCTTGAGGGGACTGATATACTAAGAGAAGATGCTGAGTGCCTTTAAGGCAAACCAGGTAGGGCAGCTGTCTGTATGGGAAGCTCTGTGGAAAAAGTCATCTACAGCAGCCGGAAGGGTCCCAAGTATTCATTTGGTCCCCAAGTTAGTACTTTGATGTCCTTGTAATATTTTATGTCCTTTGCTGCTCATCTTTCCCAGTTGTCTATGTGTCACCCTCTTAGGATTGCCTGCCTTGTTTTGTAAAAGTATTTTTTTACTTAATCAATTTCATTTATGTGAAATTTACATACAATAATCTGTACATATTTTAAATATAGAGTTCTATGAATCTTGAAAATATATACACTGTGTAATCAGTATCATAAGCATAAAATATTTTCTATGATCAGTATCATGATCATAGAATATATTCGACACCTCAAAATGCTTTCTTATGCCCATTTCAGTTTTCTCTCACTTTTGGCCCCAGTAAATCACTGATCTGCTTTCTATAAGTCTACATTAGTTCTGCCTCTTAAATTTCATACATTTGTGAATTACACAATACCTGATTTCTTTTGCTCAGCATTTTTTGAGAATCAAGCATGTTATTTTATGTATAAAAATTCATACAATTGTTATTGCAGAGTAATATTCTATTAAATGGAAAACCACAATTTCTTTTTCATTTACCTAGGGATGGGCATTTGAATTATTTCCAGTTTTTGGCTATTATGAAAAAAACTGCTATGAACATTCATACACAAGTGTGTGTGTGGACCCATGTTTTCACTGATCAAGGCCTAAATACCTACGGTAAGTATACATTTAACCTTATAAGAAAATGCAAAACTATTTTTCCAAAGTAGTATCATTTTACATTTCTTCTAACAACATATGAGAATGGCAGTTGCTCTACTAATATGGTTTGGCTTTGTGTCCCCACCCAAATCTCATCTCAAATTGTAATCCTCATAATCTTCACGTGTCAAGGGAGGCACCAGGTGGGAGGTGATGGGATCATGGGGGCACTTTCCCCATGCTGTTCTCATGATAGTGAGTGAGTTCTCATGAGATCTGATGGTTTTATAAGGCAGTTTTCCCTGCTCTTGCCCACTGTCTCTCACCTACTGCCATGTAAGGCATGCCTCCACCCCTTCCACCATGTTTATAAGTTTCCTGAGGCCTCCCCAGCCATGCAGAACTGTGAGTCAATTAAACCTCTTTCCTTTGTAAGTTACCCAGTCACAGGTAGTATCTTTATAGCAGTGTGAGAACGGACTGATAACATCCACATTGATTGGTATTATCAATCTTTTAAATTGTAGCCATCCTAGTGGATATGTAGTATCTTACAGTGGTTTTAATTTAATTTATCTGGTGTCTGGTGATATTGTGCATCTTTTCATGTGCTTATTGGCCACTTCCTCCTCTTTTTAATCCATCTTTGGTCCTTGGCCTCCTGTTTACTACTCACATACTATTCCTCAGAAACTTCCTCATAGTTCCACTTCTACGCTGTTGGTGAAAATGTAAACTAGTACGACGACTATGGAAAACAGTCTGCAGATTCCTTAAAGAACTAAAAGTAGATCTACCATTTGATCCAGCAATCCCACTTCTGGATATCTACCCAGAGGAAAAGAAGTCATTATACAAAAAAGATACCTGTGTATGCGTGTTTAGGGCAGCACAATTCACAATTGCAAAAATATGGAACCAGCCCAAATGCCTATCAATCATCGAGTAGATTAAGAAAATGTGATATATATATATGCACACACACCATGGAATACCTCTCAGCCATAAAGAGAAATGAAATAATGGCATTCACAGCAACCTGGATGGAATTGGAGACTATTATTCTAAGTGAAGTAACTCAGGAATGGAAAACCAAACATTGTGTATTCTCATTCGTATGTGGGAGCTAAGCTAAGAGGATGCAAAGGCATAAGAATGATACAATGAACTTTGGGGACTTGGGGGAAAAGGTGGGGAAGTGAAGGATAAAAGACTATACAATAGATACTATATACACTGTTTGGGTGACGGGTGCACCAAAATCTCAGAAATCACCACTAAATAAGTTATTCATGTAACCAAAGACCATCTGTTTCCCCAAAACCTACTGAAATAAAAACTTAAATTTAAAAGAAACAAAAAAACAAATATGTATACATAGAAAAAATATTATATATATGTATATTCTAAAAAATAAATGAAAGAAGCTTCCTCATAGTTCCTTTACTGGCCTTAGTCCTCTGATATTAGGCCTGTAATTTATGGCATCTGTTTTACACTCCCAATCTTGCAATGCCTGTGCTTCTTACTTAACTGTCATCCTGCCCTATACGATTACACATACTGGTAAAAGTATGCACACTGTCCTGATTGGGGAGAGATGGATAGGGAGTAAGGCTATAGGAGTCTACCCTGCTGCTGGGTGCACAGTAACAGAGGCCATGTATAAGACAGTGGTAACAAGTCACAAGAGGAAAGTAAGAGGAAACATCTAAAAGGAACAGGAGCTGACATGGTGTCAGAGATGAGTACAGAGCAGGGCTCATCATCCCATATGCATTTGGGTAAAAGCAAGAAGCAGGAACAAATGTAGAGGTCAAATGGTGGAGGAGGCCAGAAAATGTCTCAGACAGTCACTGTCAGCCTATCGCTGTCAGCAGGGAAAAGAGGCTTCAGGATGCTGAAGATTCTGGGCTTTTCAAGAGAAGCTCAAAATTTTATATATTTATTTTTATTTGAAATCTCTCAATTTCTAAGTGTTGGAAAATAATTTAATTTATGGGGAAAAACCCCACTATATTGGTTGAACAAAACACAGCTGTGGTCTGACTCCAATTCTGAGTTTTCTTGTTTACCATCTCTGATAGAGAAGACAAATCTCTCCTCTTTTGTTTCTAACCCTTTTGGCACTTAGATTGTGCTACTAATTTGTCATCTAAGGACTTGTACTGAACATAGTTGAAGACTGATCTCATCTGCCTGCTTAAATTGGACTAAGTTCCATGACAGCAGAGGAGATTTTCTATATATTTGTATTGTATATGTTTTATAACTCTATATTAGTTTTGCTTTGAAAATTTCATATACTTGTGTATCATGTAGTATCTGGCGTATTTTGCTCAGTGTAATTTTTCAGGAATAAAACATGTTATTTTGTGTATCAAGTTTATTTTCTTGTATGTAGTAGATGCTTAATGAGTACGGGAAGAAAGGAGGTTAAAAAGGGAGACAGAGGAGAAAGGACACTGACATTTTCTATTGTGAGAGATTAGAAAAATCCTGGTCTCTGCCTACAGGATCACTGTAAGCCAAAAGCAATTTTTTTTAACTAACTTTTTTTTCAAATAACTCACTGCTATAATACCATATCTGATAGTGAGATTTGCAGTAGTTAGAAAAAACAAACAAAATAACAACAAAAAAAACAGCTACTCAAGATCTTTGCTGAGCCATCTCATTGAACCCTCATACACAAGCCCCAGAGACCCCAACTTGAAACCCATCTTGCTAGAGGTAATAACAAAAATGACCCCTAAACCAAGCCAAATTGTTATTTTTTTTTTCTGGATATGTAAAAGGATTTTACTGTAAAGAACAGAAAAAAGAAAAGGCTCTGGAACAAATAGTAGTTTTCCTTAGAAGCCTTTCAATGCCTAACACTCAAAAATGCAGTGATCACTGTAAATATTAAAGGAAACAAGTGTGATATTGCCTGCAAAACTGAAACTTCAGTGAAAGCTCAGTCAAAAAAAAGGGATAAAACAGAATTTGTTAAGGAAAAAGAGCAAGAAAACCCAACTGAATATATTACTCTCTTTACAAACATTATGCTTAACATAAACTGTAACAAAGTTTAAAAATCATTTATCAGGATTTCCAAACGGTTATTCTTTTCAAGCCAGTTAGGAAGAAGTCATTTAGTGACAAAGTAATGGATTATAATCAATCATGGTGGAATCAAGTTACCACACATGTTGAGAACTCTTTCAAATTGCATTATAATCTGATGCTTATTTTATTGCATTTTGAGAGACATATTGTTAATATAAAAATGTCTTAGATTTTTGGTAGGAATATGCCTTTACAGTAGTACAATATGTTTTATCCCCACTGCTCAAAGTTCTGTGCTTCCGGGTACAATTTATTTCCTAAACACAGGAAATTTTATTTCAACTGGCTTGTCATATAAGTCTTAAGGATGGCAGTAAGAAAAGAAACAGCTATGCCAACAAAAGAAACAATCTTGCTGACGGCCTTTTTTTCATGGGTTAGAATGCTTATTATATGCCCAATTACAAAAGAAAACATAGTGACTGCTTGCATAGAAAAGAATAAAGATGAGTACAGAACTGCAAAGAAGAGTTATACATGGCCTCTCTCATAAAGGAACAATCCTATTTTTGTTGCAAATCAAATTTTCATAATATCAAATGGAATTGTAGCACAAAAGAATTTCATTCAATGAAAATACTTCAAACTAGACACTGAAGTCAGCAAGAAGCTGCAAATGTTTTATATGTTCTTCCTCTGACAAAGTCCAAATTGGAGATTCTCTTGAAAAAAGATAAAATAACTTAAGGGACTTGAATCCTTCTTGGCATCTGCTTACTGTGAAAATTTTAAATAAAAGTCTATCTCTGGGCATATAGATGAAACTTACTATTCATTTCACATTATCAAGGTAGAAAGGGTAAGCTATGAAAACCAACACTGTACCTGCAACTCGAATGAGTTAAGTGAAACATACAGAATAATTTACCTTTTACATTTTCAAGCTTTTATAAATTTTATTTCAAGTCTGACACCGTATTTAAAAAGTGTGAAACATTTAATGTTCTTGGTTTTTTCTTCTTTACAAAAATAGAGTTAAAAAACTCTGACCGCTCACAGCAGCAATTTAAAAGCATACTTAGATAACTATTAATTAATGCTATATGACTGTAAAAATCAATAATTATAAAAGTATTTAGGTAAAGTAATTATGAAAACATTGTATGCATAGAAGTGCATGAGTGAATAATTCTAGAGTTTTATGTTTGTTATTCCTAAGCAATGCCAACATTTTCTTATTGATGACTGACTTGAGAGAAACAGATTTTCAAACATTTGGATGATTCTGAATTATCTGTTATCACTTAAGTGTCCAACCATTGAAACTAAACATATTGCAACTACTTAAGAAAAGCCTGGAGTGACATTAGCAAGATGGCAGAATGGGAAACCCCAGACCTTGCTGCACAAAGGCACGGACTTAACAAGAACATATGTTCCAAAAAGCCTTCATGAGAACTGCAAAAGCAGTTAAGAAGTCATGGGACACCAGGCAAGCTCAAAACCAAGAATAGTCAGATTGTAGACATTGCATTTAATCCCCAGTGGACATTCCCCTAAGCTAGCAACAGTGCTAGTGAAATTCTTTTGTGCTACAATCCCATTTGATATTATGAAAATATTATGAAAATTTGATTTGCAATAAAAATAGGATTGTTCCTTTATGAGAGAGGCCATGTATAACTCTTCTTTGCAGTTCTGTAGTCATCTTTATTCTTTTCTATGCAAGCAGTCACTGTGTTTTCTTTTGTAATTGGGCATATAATAAGCATTCTAACCCATAAAAAAAAGGCCATCAGCAAGATTGTTTCTTTTGTTGGCATAGCTTTTTCTTTTCTTACTGCCACTCTTAAGAATAAACACACAACTTGGGGCTTCTCCACTGGGATGGAAAGAGAAGGGTAGAATATACATCCAACTTTATAGCTTTTGAGGGGGCTACCTGTGGAGATGGTTTCTGTGTTAACTTGGCTCAGAATACTGATGGGGAGCCAGCATACTTTGGATGCTTGAGGGTTGCTGAGAACAAAAGAGAACTCAGTGGCTTACCGCAGTGCCAGAGAATGTGAAGTACTGCAGATAGACACCAGAGAGAGCAAGAGACTACAAAGCCCCTCAGAAAGAAACTGGCAAACCTCTCTAATTGGGTAGTCACGTACATAAGCCCAGTGAAGATTCATCCCCAGAAAACCTTTAGGAGGCCCCCAGAATCTGTAGCCAGGCTGATTGGTAAAGATCTTCCTTTGCACAAATCCAGTCTGTAAAATCTAGAGAGGTGGTGATTTTTTTCAAATGCAGAAATCACACCAAAAAAAAAAAAAAAAAGACAATAAGGAATATGGAGAAACAAAAAATGGCTGAATCAATGGAATAAAACAAATCTCCAGGTGCTAACCTGAAGAAACAGATCTATAAATTACTTAACAAAGAATTCAGAACTGAGTGCAGTGGTTCATGCCTATAATCCCAGCACTTTGGGAGGCCAAGGCAGGTGGATCACCTGAGGTCAGGAGTTCAAGACCAGCCTGGCCAACATGGTGTAACCCTGTCTCTACCAAAAATAAAAAAATTAGCTGGGCATGGTGGCGGGCACCTGCAATCCTAGCTACTCAGAAGGCTGAGGCAGGAGAATCGCTGGAACGCAGGAGGCAGAGGCTACAGTGAGCCGAGATTATACCACTGCACTCCAGCCTGGGCAACAGAGCAAGACTCCATCACACACACAAAAAAAAAGAATTTAAAATAATTACACAGAAACTCAATGCACTACAAGAGAACACAGACAATCAAATGAAATGAGGAAAACTGCATGAACAAAGTGAGAATATCAATAAAGAGATAGAAACTAATTTAAAAAAACCCAGAAATTAAGGAGCTGAAGAACAAAATAACTGAATTGAAAAATTCACCAGAGGGATTTAACAGAAGACTTGATCAAACAGAGGAATCAGTGAACTTGAAGACAGATCATTTGGAATTATCAAGTTAGAGGAACAACAGCAACAATAAAATAATGAAGAAAAGTGAAGGAAGCCTAAGGAACTCATGGGACATCATCAAGTGGACCAATATATTCACTATGAAAGCTCAGAAGGAGAAGAGGGAAACAAAGGAAAATGGGTAAAAAGCTTATTTGAAGAAACAATGGCAAAAAAGTCCCCAAATCTGAGGGAAAAAATAGACATCCATATTCATGATACTTAAAGGACTATACATAGGATAAATCCAAAGAAATCTACGTGAGAACACATTAAAATCCAACTGTATATGTCAAAGATAAAGAGAAAATCTTAAATTAAAAAAAAAAAGAGAAAGAAAAAGTGACTCATCCTGAACAAGGGAGCTCCCATAAGATTAAGTGGATTTCTCAGCAGAGACAGTAGAGATCAGAAGGGAGTAGGATGATGTACTCAAAGGGCTGAAAGTAAGAAAACTGCCAACCAAGAATACCACGTCTTCCAAAACTGTCCTTCATAAATGAAGGAGAGGTGACTTTCCTAGATAAACAAACGTTGAGGGATTTCAAGTCTATTAAACCTGCCTTACAGGATATGAGAAAGTGAGTCCTTCAAGTTGAAACAAAAGGACACTATACAGCAAATGAAAACACAAAAAAATATATACAGCACTTGTAAAGGTAAATATAATATGGCAATAGTGATGAAAAAATCACTTTTATTCTGGTATAGAATTTAAAAGATAAAAGAATAAAAATATAACTACTAACTAGGTTAATGGATATGCAATATAAAAGATGTAATCTGTAACATTGATAATATAGAATGTGTTGGGGATGTAAAGGAGCAGAGTCTTTTGTATGTAATTGAGCTAGAGCTGTTATAAAGTAAATTGTTATAAATATGATATTTTATATAGTCTCCATAGTAACCACAAAGAAAATATGTATAGAAGAAACACAAAAGGAAATAAAAAAATCAAGGTATGTTGCTACAAAAAATTAACAAAACACAAAGGAAGGTAACAAGAGAAGAAAATAAATGAAAAATAAGATCCAGCTATATGCTGTCTATTAGAGACTCACTTTACATAGAAGAACACACAAATAAGCTGAAAATGAAATGATAAAAATATTTCATACAAATGCTATCCAAAAGAGTGTAGGGTTGGCCATACTTTTATCAGGAAAAATTGGCTTTAAGTTAAAAACTATCACAAGATGTAAATAAGAACATTATATAATAATAAAAAGTCCATTCAACCACAATGGAATGAAACTCAAAATCATTAGCAAAAGGAAAGCTAGTAAATTCTCAAGTACATGGAAATTAAACAACACATTCTTGAACTACTGATACATCAAAAGGAAATCAAAAGAAAATTTAGAAAATATATTGAGATAAAAACAGAAACAAAACATACCAAAAATTATGGGATGCAATGATAGTAATACTAAGAGGAAAGTTAATAGTGGTAAACACTTACATTAAAAAAGAAGAAAGATCTCAAATTAACAATCTAACATTACAACACAAGGAACCAGAGAAAGAACAAACTTAACCCGAAGTTAGTAGAAGGAAGGAAATAATAAATACTAAAGCAGAAATAAATGACATTATAGAAAAACAATAGAAAAAAACAATGGAACTAAGTTATTTTTTTGAAAAGCTTAATAAAATTGGCAAAGCCTTAGCTAGACTAATGAGACAGAGACAGAGAAAGAGAGAGAGAGAAAAAAATGAATCCTTAATTAAAGAGGAGACATTAAAACCAATGCCACAGAAATCCAAAGGGATCATAAGAGACTAATTTGAACAATTATACAGCAAAAAATTAGATAACCTAGATGAAATGGATACATTTCTGGAAATATATAACCTACCAAGACTGAATCATGAATAAATAGAAAATCTCAAGAAACCTGTAATTAGTAAGGTGATTGAGTCAATAATCAAAAACTCTCAACAAAGAAAACTCCAGGACCAGATGGCATCACTGGAGAATTCTAAGAAACATTTAAAAAATTAATGTCAATTCTTCTTAAACTCTTTCAAGAAATTGAAGAGGAGAGAATACTTTGAAACTCATATTATGAGGCCAGCATTATTCTCATTCCAAAGTCAGACAAAGATACTAAAAAGAAAGTTTTCTTCAGACCAATCTCCCTGATAAATATATATGCAAAATTTATCAATAAAATACTAGCAAACATAATTCAACAGCACATTAAAAGGATTATATACCATGACCAAGTGGGGTTTGTCCCTGGGATGCAAGAATTGTTCAACATACAAAAACAAATTAATGCGATACACCACATCAACAGAACAAAAAATAAAAATTACATGATCATCTCAGTAGATGCAGAAAAAGCGTATAACAAAATTCAACATGCTTTCATGGTAAAAACTCAAACTAGGAATAGAAGGAAATTATTTCAACATAATAAAGGCCATATCTAAAAATCCCACAGCTAACACAACACTCAACAGTGAAAAACCAAAAGCATTTATGCTAAGATAAGGAACAAGACAAGAATGCTCACTTCTTTTTTTTTTTTTTTTAAAGACAGAGTCTTACTCTGTCACCCAGGCTAGAGTGCAACGGCATGATCTCGGTTCACTGCAACCTCTGCCTCCAAGGTTGAAGTGATTCTCCCACCTCAGCCTCCTGAGTAGTCGGGATTACAGGCATCCGCCATCATACCTGGCTAATTTTTGTATTTTTGTGGAGACAATGTTTCACCATGTTGGCCAGGCTGGTCTTGAACTCCTGACCTCAGGTGATCTGCCCACCTCGACCTCCCAAAGTGCTGGGATTACAGGTGTGAGCCAGTATGCCCAGCCAGAATGCCCACTATTACCACTTCTATTTAACACAGTATACAAGTCCTAGCCTGAGCAATTAGACAAGAGAAAGAAGAAGAAGAAAAAAAATGCATGCAAACTAAAAAGAAAAACAAAGTAAAATTATCTTTGCAGACGACATAATCCTGTATGTGTAAAACCCTAAAGATCCCACAAGAAAAACTAATAAACAAATTCAGCAAAGTTGCAGGATACAAAAATCAATATGCAAATATTAGTTGTGTTTCTATCCAGTAACAATAAGCAATCTGAAAAGAAAATTAGAAAAACAATACCATTTACAACATCATCAAACAAAATAAAATACTTAAGAATAAACTTAATCAATGAGGTAAAATATTAATACGTTGAAAATTTCAAAACATTACTGAAGGAAATCAAAGAAGTCACAAATAAATGGAAAACCATTCCATGTTTATGAAATGGAAGACAATATTGTTAAAGTGACCATAGTATCAAAAGGAATCTACAGATTCAATTCAATCCCTACCAAATCTTCAATGTCATTTTTTGTAGAGTTCGTATAAGCTACCCTAAAATAAATATGGAATGTCAAAGGACCCTGAATAGTCAAAATAATCTTGAGAAAGTAAAACAAAGCTAGAGGCTTCATACTTACTGACTTCGAAACAGTTTACAAAGCTACACCAATCAAAATGTATGATACTGGAATAAAGACAGACATATAGACTAATGGAACAGAATATAAGGCCTAGAAATAAACCCACATGTATATGATCAAATGAACTTCAATAAGGGTGCCAAGGTTACATAATAGGGTATGAATAGTATCTTCAACAAATGGTGCTTGGAAAACTGAATATCCACATATGAAATACTGAAGTTGGACCCTTTTCTTATACAATCTACAAAGATCCACTCAGAATGGATTAGAGACTTAAATGTAAGAGCTGAAACTCCAAAATTAATATAATATAGGAGGAGAGCTTCATGATATTTAATTTAGCAATGATTCATTCTTTGGATATAAGACCAAAAGCATAGGCAACAAAAGCAAAAAAATAGACAAATAGGAGTATATCAAACTGAAAGCTTTTTCACAGCACAGGAAACAATGAACAGATTAAAAAGGGAACTTATATAATAAGAGAAAATAGTTGCAAGCCACATATCTGATGAGAGGTTAATATCCATAGTATATAAATAACTCTTGCAAATAAACAAGAGAACAAAAGCAAATAACCTGATTAAAAATGAACAAAGGACTTGAACAAACATTTCTCCAAAGACGATATCCAAACGGTCAATATCATTAAATATCAGGGAAGTAAAAATCAAAACCACAAGATATTACCTTATACCCATTAGGATGGCATTTATTTTATATCAAAAATTAAAAAAAAAACAGAAAATAACAAATGTTGACAAGGATGTCGAGAAATTGGAACCTTTGTGCACTGTTGCTGGGAATGTAAAATGGTGCAGCCCACTATGGAACATAGTACAGAGGTTCCTCAAAAAATTAAAAATAGAATTACTTTATGATCCAGCAATTCCACTTCAGGATATATATCCCCAAGAATTGAAAACAGGATCTCAAAGGGATATTAGCATACTCATGTTCCTTGCAGCATTTTTAAAAATAATAAATGAGAGGTAAAAGCAACCTAAATGTCCCTCAATGAATGAATGGATAGCCAAAACGTAGTATATACATTCAATGAAATATTATTTGGCCTTTAAAAAGAAGGAAATGAAAATCCTGTTATATGCTACAAAATGGATAAAGCTTAATGACATTATGTGAAATAAGCCAGTTACAAAAACAAATACTGTCTGATTCCACTTATATGAAGTATTTAAATAGACTCTTAGAAACAGAAAGTAGAATGGCATTTGCTAAGGGTTGGTGGAGGGGGCAGAAGAAAATAGCTTGGTGGGCACAATTTGAATTTTACAAAATGAAAAATATCTAGAGATCTGTTGTGTAACAATGTGCACACAGTTAACACTGTCGTAGACTTAGAAATAATCAAGATGGTAAATTTTATGTTATGTGTTTTTAACACAATAAAAAAAGAAGAAATGCATTGATTTTTTTCTACCACCTTCCTATCATTAAAAATGGCTGAACCATTACTAAGGCTTTTTAAAAAAATCACTCCTGATGTGAGACAAAGCATGGAAAATGTATGCTCAAAAGAAATAATTTTCCAAAATTTGTGGATAGGTGAAAATCATGCTTTAAAATGAAAATGGTATACATTCTTAAACTTATTTGCTTTTGTGAACACCTAAAGAAATAATAGAGAAGCCAGAAAACTGCTTATTTTTTTATAAGTTTAAGCAAAAAAAAAAAAAAGATGTGCAGATAAACCAAAATAAAGTTAATGCATGCAATGAGAAGTAAACACAATTGATTAAGTCTGAAATAGATTTTTAATAGGATTATAGATTTTAATGAGGCAACTTTCAAAGAAGTGATTATAAATTGTTGCACTTAATTATTTAAAAATGCACACATAGCAACTTAGAGAAAGGCAGGTGCTAAAATGATCCCTAGATGTTCCAACTATATCTCTAATTTTGTGATTTACAGAAGACTGTATTTAAGACATGAGTTTGAGAATTTTCACTGCTGCTTCAGTGTTGGATCAGAGTCAACATCTTGATTGTGGACCTGGTGCTGCCAATTTTCCCTCACTTCCCAACCATTTCTTGTATGGGCTGTCATCCCAAAGTTGACACTCAGACTTTAGATTCCCTGAATTTTCAGGAGCCATCCTCATTATCCTTTCCAGCTCCCAGAACTCCAGATCAAGCTAGAATCCAGAGCCTGCATGTGTTCAGAAAGAAAGGTTGCATAATTTTTCTATGTGAGTAATTCTCAACTTTGGTTTTGAGATAACCCAGAACATTTCCAATTATCTCAAAAAACAAGGTAAATGTATCTACCAAAATGTACAGTTACACTTCACTTAAAGAAATGCCTTTTAAGATGTTTTTAGTTGCCAAATAATAAAAACTACACTACAGTATTTCCATAATTCAATGATTGTTGCAGCAGCTCTTCATGAAAACAGCATTTTTATCCTCAAAATAATCTAAAATCAGGCTTCAGACATCCACAAACAATAGACGCCAATTAAAAACAAAAATAAAATCCTGTTATTTCTACCAAATGTTTTATTCTATTTTTGACTTAAATATTAATAAGGAGGTTGAGCAAGATGGCAAAATAGAAGTCTCCCCAGATTGTCCTCCCAACAGGGAAACAAAATTGAACAATTATCTACACAAAAAAGGACCTTCATAAGAACCAAAAATCAGGTGAGCAATCACAGTACCTGGTTTTTACTTCATATCACCAAAAGAGGCACTGAGGAGTGTAGGGACAGTCTTGAATTGAATACAACCCCACCTTCCCCATCTCCTGGCAGTGGCCATGTGCTGAAGAGAGAGAATCTGTGCACTTGGGAGAGGGTGAGCATGGTGATTGTGGGACTCTGCATTGGAACTCAGTGCTGTCCTGTCACAGCACAAAGCAACACTGGGCAGAACTCAGCCAGCTCCCATGGAGGGAACATTTAATCCAACCCTGGTGATAGGGGAATCTCCTGTCTCAGCAGTTGGAACCTGAATTCCAGCAAGCCTTGCCACTGCAGGCTAAAGAGCTCTGGAAAGTTTGTCTAGGCCACAAGGACCACAATTCCTGGATAAGGAATTGTGCGGGGCTTGAAGCCAGTGGACTTCGGGGAGCACATGACCTACTGAGACACCAACTGGGGTGGCCAAGGGAGTACTTTCACCACCCCTCCCCTAACCCCAGGCAGCACAGCTTATAACTCCAGGACAGACTCTTTCCTTCCACTTGAGCAGAGGAGAGGGAAGAGTAAAGAAGACTTTGTCTTGCAACTTGGATACCAGCTCAGCCACAGTATGATAGGGCATTAGGCAGAGTGCTGAGGCCCCCATCCCAAGCCCTAGCTCCCAGACAACATTTCTAGACACACCCTGGGCCAGAAAGAAACCTGCTATCTTTAAGGCAAATACCTAGTCCTGACAAGATTCACCACCTGCTAATGAAAGAGCCCTTGGGCCCTGAAGTACTCCTTGGTAGCCAGGAGTACTCACCATGAACCCTGGGCGAGACTCAGAGATGTGCTGGCTTCATGTGTGACCCAGCATATTCCCAGATGTGGTGGCTATGGGGAGAGACCCTTTCTGCTAGAGAAAAAGAGAGGGAAGGGGAAAGGGGACTTTGTCTTGCAGTTTAGGTACCAGCTCAGCCACAGTGGGACAGAGCACCAAGTGGGCTCTTAGGATCATTGATTCCGGGCCTTGGCTCTTGGACAGCATTTCTTGAACTGCCCCAAGGCAGAGGGGAGCCTACTGCCTTGAAGGGAGAGTTCCAGGCCTGGCAATATTCATCACAAGCTGAGTAAAGATTCCTTTGGCCTTGAGTGAACATTAGCAGTAGCCAGACAGTATTCCTCATGGGCCTGGAGTGGTGGTGGCCATATGAGAGAGACTCTTATGCTTGTAGAAAAGCTGGGGGAAGAATAGGAAGGACTTTTGTCTTGTGGCTTGGGTGCCAGCTCAGTTGCAGTAGAATAGAGCACCAGGTAGATGTGTCAGGAGTCCTGACTTTCTGATGACATCTCTGTACACTCCTAGGCTTCAGGGGAACTCACTGCCATGAAGGAAAGGACACAAGCTCGGCTGGCTTCAACATCCACTGTAGAGCCCTGGGGCCTTGAGTGAACATAGCTGGTAGCAAGGCAGTGGTTACTATAGGCCTTCAAGGGGACCCAGTGCTGTACTGGCTTCAGGTATGACCCAGTGCAGTCCCAGTGGTGGTGGTCACAGGGGTTCTTGGGTCACTCCTTCCACAGCTTCAGGCAGCTCAGCACAGAGCAAAAGAATTTGTTTGGAAGGAAGGAAGAGAAGAGAACAAGAGTCTCTGCCTGGTAATCAAGATAATTCTTCTGGGTTATATCCAGGACCACCAAGGTGGTGCCTCTGCATTAGGAACCCCCTAATGCAGATATGACTGCAGTGACCAAAAACTTAGATCACAACACCAAAGTCACTTCGAATACCTGGAAAGTCTTGCCAAGAAGAAGAGATGCAAACAACCTAGATGGCAAAGACTACAATAAATACCTACTCTTCAATATGCAGACACTGAAGAACATCCATAAGCATCAGTACCATCCAGGAAAACATGACCTTACCAAATGAACTAAATAAGGCACCAGGGACAAATCCTGGAGAAACTGAGATAGGTGACCTTTCAGACAGAGAATTCAAAACAGCTGTTTTGCAAAAACTCAAAGAATTTCAAGATAACACAGAGAGGGAGTTCTGAATCCTACTGGATAACTTTAACAAAGAGATTGAAGTAATTGAAAAAATTCAAGCAGAAATTCTGGAGTTGGAAAATACAATTGACATACTTAAGAATGCATTACAGTCTCTAAGCAACAGAACAGATCAAGCAGAAGAAAGAATTAGTGAGCTTGAAGGCAGGCTATTTGAAAATAAACAGAGGAGACAAAAGAAAAAAGGATGAAAAAGAAGAAAGCACATCTACAAGATCTAGAAAATAGCCTCAAAAGGGCAAATCTAAGAATTATTGGCCTTAAAGGGAAAGTAGAGAAAGAGGTAAGAGTACAAAGTTTATTCAAAGGGATGATAACAGAGAACTCCTCAAACTTAGAGAAAGATACCAATATATAAGTATAAGAAGGTTATAGAACACCAAGCAGTTTTAACCCAAAGAAGACTACCTCAAGGCATTTAATAAACTCCCAAATGTCAAGGATAAAGAAAGGATCCTAAAAGCAGCCCAAGAAAAGAAACAACATGCAGTGGAGCTCCAATACATCTGGAAGTAGACTTTTCAGTGGAAACCTTACAGGAAAAGAGAGGGTGGCATGACATATTTAAAGTTCTGGAAGAAATAAGCTTTTATCCTAGAATACCATACTCAGTGAAAATATCATTCAAATATGAAGGAGAAATAAAGACTTTTCCATACAAACAAAAGCTGAGGGATTTCATCAACACCAGACCTGTCTTACAAGAAATCCTATGGGGAGTATTTCAATCAGAAAGAAAAGGACATTAATGAGTAATAAGAAATCATCTTAAGGTACAAAACTCACTGGTAATAGTACACAGAAAAACACAGAATATTATAACACTGTAACTGTGGTGTGTAAACTATTCTTGTTCTAAGTAGAAAGACTAAACAATGAACCAACCAAAAATAATAACTACAACAACTTTTCAAGACATAGTCAAGACAGTACAATAAGATAGAAACAACAAAAAGTTGAAAAGTGAGGGAGCAAAGTTAAGGTATAGTCTTCTTTAAAAATTTTTGATAAGGAGCCTTACTCTGTCTCCCAGGTTGGAGTGCAGTGGTATGATCTTGGCTCACTGCAAACTCCGCCTCCCAGATTCAAGTGATACTTGTACCTCTGCTTTCCAAGTAGCTGAGATTACAGGTATGTGCACCATACCTGGCTAATTTTTCTATTTCTTTAAGTAGAGATGGGTTTCATCATGTTGGCCAGGCTGGTCATGAACTCCTGGCCTCAAGTGATCCACCTGCCTCAGCCTCTTGACATCCTGGGATTATAGATGTGAGCCACAGCACCCTGCCTAAAGTGTAGTCTTTATTAGTTTTCTCTTTGTTTGGTTGATTGTTTGTTTATGCATTCGGTGCCAAGTTATCATCAGTTTAAAATAATAAGTTATGAGATATTATTTGCAAGCCGCATGGTAACCTCAAATCAAAAAATATACAATGAAAACAAAAACGCTAGAAATTAAAATACACAACCAGAGAAAACCGCCTTCACTAAAACGAAGTCAGGAAGATAAGAAAAAGGGAAGAGAAGACTCTAAGACAATCAGAAAACAAATAACAAAATGGCAGGAGTAAATCCTTACTTAGCAATAATAACACTGAATGTAACTGGACTAAACTCCCCAATCAAAAGACATAGTATGGTTAAATGGATATAAGAAGAAGACACAATGGTCTTTTGCCTACTAGAAACACACCTCACCTATGAAGAGACACACAGACTGAAAATAAAGAGCTGGAAAAAGATACTCCATGCAAATGGAAACAAAAAAGAGAAAAAGTAGCTATATTTATATCATATACAATAGATTTCAACACAAAAACTATATAGACAAGGAAGGTCATTATGCAATGATGAATCAATTCAGCAAAAGGATATAATGTTTGTAAATATATATGCACCCACCACTGGAGGACCCAGATATATAAGGAAAATATTATTAGACCTAAAGAGAGATTGACCCCAGTACAATAATAGCTGAAGACTTCAACACTCCACATTCAGCATTGGATATATCATCCAGACAGACAATCAACAAGGAAATATTGAACTTAATAGGCACCATATATCAAATGGACCCAATAGATATTTACAGAACATTTCATCCAATGAAATGGATGGAGAATACACATTCTTCTCCTCAGCACATGGATCATTCTCAAGGACAGACCATATGTTAGGCTGCAAAACAAGTCTTGACAAAATATTGACAATAATTAAAATTATATAAAGTATCTTCTCTGACTGCAAAGGAATAAAACTAGAAATCAATAACAAAAAGTATTTTGGAAATTATACAGACACATGAAAATTAAACAATATGCTCCTGAATGACCAGTGATTCAATGGAAAAATTTAAAAGAAAATTTAAACATTTCTTGAAACAAACGATAATGGAAAGACAAAATAGCAAATCGTATGGGATCCAGCAAAAGCAGTACAAAGAGTAAAGTTTATAGCTGTAAGTGCCTACATCAAAAAAGTAGAAAAATGTCAAATAAACAATCTAACAATGCATCTTAAAGAATTAAAAAAGCAAGAGCAAAACAAACTCAAAATTGGTAGCAGAAAAGAAATAACAAAGATCAGAACAACAAAGATCAGAACAGAAATAAATGAAACTTAAATGAAGAAAACAATACAAAGATCAATGAAACAAAAAATTGGCTTTTTGAAAAGATAAACAAAATCAACAAACCTTTAGCCAGACTCAGAAGAAAAGGGAGAAGACCTAAATAAATAAAATCAGAGGTGAAAAAGAAGGCATTCCGACAGATACTACATAAATTTAAAGGATCATTAGTGGCTACTATGAACAATTATACACCAATAAATTAGAAAACATAGAATAAATGGATAAATTCATAGACACATATAACCTACCAATATTGAACTATAAAGAAATCCAAAGCCTGAACAGACCAATAATATGTAATGAGATCAAAGCTGTAATAAAAAGTCTCCCAGCAAAGAAAATCCCAGGACCTGATGACTTTACTGCTGAATTTTACCAAACATTTACAGAAGAACTAACACCTATCACACTCAAAGTATTCCAAAAAATAAAGCAAGAGAGAATACTACCAAACTCATTCTACCAGGTCATTATTATCTTCGTACCAAAATCAGACTAAGAGACATCAAAAAAAGAGAAAAGTAAAGGCCATATCTCTGATGAACACTGATGTAAAAATCCTCAACAAAATACTAGCAAACCAATTCAACAACACATTAAGAAGATCATTCATCATGACCAAGTGGGATTCATCCCAGGGATGCAAGGATGGTTCAACTTACATAAACCAATGGATGTGATACATCATGTCAACAAAATAAAGGACCATATGATTATTTCAATTCATGCTGAAAAAGCATTTGATGAAATTCAACATCCCTTCATGATAAACACCTTCAACAAACTGGGTATAGAAGAAACATACCTCAGCAAAACAGAGCAATCAGACAAGAGAAAGAAATAAAGGACATCCAAATTGGAAAGGAAAAAGTCAAATTATTCTTGTTTGCAGATGATATGATCTTATATTTGGAAAAACCTAAAGACTCCTCCAAAAAACTATTAGAACTGATAAACAAATTCAGTGAAGTTGCAGAATACGAAATCAACCTACAAAAATTCATGGCATATTGCCATGCCAGCAGCAAACAATATGAAAAAGAAACGAGAAAGTAATCTCATTTACAATAGCTACAAATAAAATAAAATACCTAGGAATTAACTTAACCAAAGCAGTGAAAGACTTCTGCAATGAAAAGTATAAAAGATTGATGAAAAAAATTGAGGAGGCTTCACAAAAAAGGAAAAGATATTCCATGTTCATGGATTGAAGAATCACTATTTTTAAAATGTCCATACTATCAAAAGCAACCTAAAGATTCAATGCAATCCCTACTAAAATACCAATGACGTTCTTCATAGAAATAGAAAAAATCTAAAATTTATATGAAATCATAAAAGACCCATCATAGTCAAAGCTATCCTGAGCAGAAAGAACAGAACAAAGGGAATCACATTACCTGGCTTCAAATTATACTACAAAACTATAGTAACAAAACAGCATGGTTCTGGCATAAAAACAAACATATAAACCAATGAAACAGAATAGAGAATCCAGAAACAAATCCAGACATCTACAGTGAACTCATTTTTCACAAAGTTGCCAAGAACATACACTGGAGAAAGAACAGTCTCTTCAACAAATGGTGCTGGAAAAACTGTATATCCATGTGCAAAAGAATAAAACTAGACCCCTACCTCTCACCACATACAAAAATTAAATCAAAATGGATTAAAGATTTAAACTTAAGACCTCAAACTATAAAACTGCTAAAAGAAAACATTGGGGAAACGCTCTAGGAAATTGGAGTGGGAGTAGATTTCTTGAGTAGTGCCCCACAAACACAGACAACCAAAGCAAAGACAGAAAAATGAGATCATATCAAGTTAAAAAGCTTCTGCATTGCAAAGGAAAGAATCAGAAAAGTGAAGCGACAACCCACTGAAGGGAGAAAATACTTGCAAACTATCTATCTGACAAGGGATTCATAACCAGAATGTGTAAGAAGCTCAAATAACTTTTTGGAAGAAAATCTAATAATCCGATTAAAAAATGGGCAAAACACCCAAATAGACATCTCTCAATAGAATACATATAAATGGCAAACAGGTATAAGAAAAGGTGCTCAACACCATTGATTATCAGAGAAATGCAAATCAAAAAACTACAGTGAAATATCATCTCATCTCATTTAAAATGACTTATATCCAAAAGACAGGAAAAAAAAAATGCTAGTGAGGATGTTGAGAAAGGGGAATCCTTATACGCTGTTGGTGGGAATGTAAATTAGCTCAACCACTATAAATAAATAACAGTGTGAAGGTACCTCAAAAACCTAAAAATAGAGCTATCATATGATCCAGCAATTGCACTGTTAGGTTATATACTTAAAAGAGAGAAAATCAGTACATTGAAGATATCTGCACTTCTATGTTTATTGCAGCACTGTTCACAATAGCCAAGATTTGGAAGCAACTTAAGTGTCCATCAACAGCTGAACGGATAAAGAAAATGTGGTACATATACACAATAGAGTAGCATCCGGCCATAAAAAAAGAATGAGACCCAGTCATCTGCAACAACATGGATGGAACTGGAGGTCATTATGTTAAGTGAAATAAGCCAGGCACTGACAGAAAAACTTCACATGTTCTCACTTATTTGTAGGGGCTAAAAATTACAATAATTGAACTCATAGAAATACAGAGAAGAAGGATGGTTACCAGAAGCTGGGAAGGGTAGTGGGAGGTTAGAGGGGAAGTGGTAATGGTGAATGGGTACAAAAATATAGTCAGATAGAATGAATAAGGTCTAGTATTTGATAGCACAACAGGGTTCCTACCGTCAACAATAATTTATTGTACATGTAAAATTAGCTAAGAGTATAACTGGATTGTTTGCAACACAAAGTATACAAGCTTGAGGAGATGGATACTCCATTTAGCCTGATGTGATTATTACACATTGCATGCCTGTATCAAAATATTTCACATAACCCATAAATATATATACCTACTACATACCTGCATAAATTAAAAATTAAAATTTTTTGAAATGTAAAAAAACAAATTTTCTATAATAAAAAATAATGAAAGTTTCTTGTAAATTTTCCAGTGCTATAAATCACAAATACCCAAACCTGTTTCTGCTTTCAGAAACATAACAAAATAATCCTCTGATTCTTCAGGGTTCTTCAAGCTATTGCCACTTTCCTTTCTTTCCCTTCATAGGAAAAGCTTGTGACAAATAAACTGATGTCTTTGTCTGATTTCAGGGACTGATTTCACTTTTTCACTCTGCACTTCACTATATTCTGGCTTTTAAAATAAATCTCTATGGAATTAGTCCACTCCCAAAATCCCAATTCCCTCCCAAGTTGTTCCATTTAGCTATGAAGAATTCCTATAAGAAGCCACAGCTGACTCCAGAATTCACATTAGAAAGCCTGGGCTGCTGGTATCTATTCTTGGCCCAAATCCTAAACTACTTCAACAGAGCAAACTTACTCCTCTCTAGACTCTCCAAGCACCTTATTTTGCTTTTAGTGCCATTCCTTTATTGTCTTATCCTCTATATTTAACACATGGACTTGTTATTTCAGACATGCCTTCCTTTCTCCCATGTTCATACCTCCTGATACCAAGATGTCATCCCCAGAACATCTCAGGTAATGCTGTTCCCAACTCAACCAAGCCCAGGGACTCAGTGAGTTGTAGCCCCACTCCCAGCAGGTGGCAGCCCACTACCTCACTTACTTCTGCTTTTGGGACAGGCACCCAGGTGAACCAGTAGCCATTTTTCCATCTCTATCTTACCTAGCCCCTGCTCTATATTAAATATGGTTGACCGCCCCGTTTCTTAAATGTGCCACTTTCTTGTTTCTCTAACACCATCCTCCTGGGAATTGTCACTATCACCCTAGCCCTCCAACTCAATCTCCTTTTTAGATACATTATTTGATCAACTCCTGTAAAATATTGATGTTACTTTAGATTTTCTTCTCAGCCCTCCCTCTTCCTTCACCCTTGGCTGCACATTGGAATCGCATGGGAGCTTCTACAAATAAACAATGTGTGCTCTACCTTCAACGATTACCATTTAACTGGATGCGGGAAAGGGGTGGATATCCAGGTATTCGATTTTTTTTTTTCTCTGAGACGCAGTTTCGCTCTTGTTGCCCAGGCTGGAGTGCAATGGCGTGATCTTGGCTTACCGCAACCTCTGCCTCCCAGGTTCAAGCGATTCTCCCGGATTACAGGCAAGCGTCAGCATGCCCGGCTAATTATTTGTATTTTTAGTAGAGATGGGGTTTCTCCATGTTGGTCAGGCTGGTGTCAAACTCCTGACCTCTGGTGATCCACCCACCCCGGCTTCCCAAAATGCTGGGATTACAGGCGTGAACCACTGCGCCCGGCCGGTATTAGGAACTTTTTAAATCTCCCTTGGTATTTCGATGTGTAGTCCTGGTTGAGAACCTCAGGTATAAACAACCCCCAGGCCTCATTGAGGCTGTCTTGGAAACACGTGAGAAGCACATTCCTCCTTATCATCCCTCACTGCTGTGGCTTTCTTCAGGCCTGGGTCATTATCACATAAATCACCACAGTATCCTCCTAACTCATTTCTCTCCTCCAGGGTACACTCCACACAGCTTCCAAAGTGAGCTTTCTACAACGTCAAGTTTGATTTTGATAATTTAAAGGCCATCAATGTCTCTCTCTTCCAAATTATCACTGGAAAGCACATGAGGCTCTGTGCACGCTGCTCTCCAGCTATTCCAGATGAGACGCTTGGTCGCGGGGTCAACTCACCACACCCTGTGGAGGCCCCAAGCTTTGTGCATGACATTTCCACTGCCTGGCACAACTATCTCCCCGACCCTTCCCTCTTACCCCATGAGTTTTTTTTTCCTCATTTGTGCATATATATGCCTTTTGTTATCTTAGAAGTAATGGTTAAATGGTAAAATGATATCAACAGACATTTGGGGAATACCCACTAGGAGCAAATATCCTCTAGCTCTGCTATCCACAGGGTCTGGCTGCACTTTCATCTTCATATCTTAGACTTATAACTACTGGTAATCATGATGGTGAAATGCTTTAGAGATTACAAAGTGCTCATTTGATCATCAAAACCACCTTTTAAGAGACTAAATGAATAGATGTTCAAGGCTTCTTAAAATTGAATATTGTATATAATATATCAAATATATAGTCAACATATAATAGGAAGTATGTTGGGGAAGGAGAAAAACTGTGAGGGGTATCCTCAGGAATATTGATGAGTGTCCTTCAATAGTTAAAGATGTATGAAGCAGAGTTACAGTTTTAAACAGTACAGCTGATATGCACACAAAATTAGTTGATTTCTTGATGCTTGATCTAATATTTTTTATGAGCCCCACTCAGTATTTTGTTTATCAAAGGCAGAATATCCTCTCTTTGTACTCCTGCTATAATAATCCTAATGCTATCCGCAGCAAATGGATGTGTTTTGTAGAATAGGTGGAAGGTCTTATCTACAGATAGGCAACAGAAGAGTATTAATATAGTTCCAAAATATTAACCCTTTACATTTATAAACAAAGTACAACAGTTCAGAACAGTGTTATGCAAAATCATCATAAAAAATCATAAGTGGCTTCCAGGGCCGAGCCTTGACAGAGGTGTTAAAACACCAACAGGGAATGTGTAAATCAAAAGGAAATTGGTGAGTAATGGAAGCCCAGGCAGTCAATGAAGGCATCATAAAATCTGACTTGGCAGGGCTGGGTAAGCTCTGCCTGAGGAAAGAGTAATGTAGGCTGATGACACTCAACACTTGAATGACATCCTACTCCTAATTGTTGAGGATTAGCAAGCAACTTTCTGTTTACAACTTCGCTTCTTGTGTCTTTTATTCCTAGAAAGAGAAAACTGGTCATTCCAATATGACTACTGTAATCCACATAACAATCACAGCTCACCAAATAAATAACAAAACTGTCATGGTGTATATATCAGTCTCTTTCATATTGGTGAATAAATTCCCACCCCTGGGGAAAGGAAATCCTTGGTGAGTTAATCAAATGATGTCTTGTGCCTGTATGGCTGAGGGCCAGATGTGGGACTTGGGTGAATTTGCAAAGATAAAAACTGCTTTGTGAAGTACGTACCCTCTTCTGAGAATAAGACGTTTCTCTATCTTCCTTCCCTACAGCTAACTTGGAGTCATAAGTCAAATGATTAAATTCCATACCATTTTAGATGCCTAGTTAGATAATGCTCATTCCAATGAATTTATAATAAAACAAGAGACAGTCCCTAAATAACAAAATAGCAATGACAGATAACATGTGCTTCCCTCTTTCATTATCATAGGAATTCATATGTGGAAACATTCATACATTCCAAAGCCGAGAATAACACTGTGTTTATGGAGAAATTCATCTCCTTGGAAAGTATCGTTCTTATCTGGTTTGAAGACAAAAAAAGACATACCGTAGGCCCCTAACAACCACTAGTTCATTGTTGTAATATAATTGTTATGTAACAACTGGTTGCTCTGGTGAGAATTTATACCCAAGTAACTTTATGAAATTCATAGATTTGGGACAGAAAGATAACAAAAATAACAACCAAAGAAAGCAATGACTAGTATCCTCTTAAAACTTAATCTTTACAGTATCCCTGTGAGGAAGTCATCAAAGAGAATATGCCCAGTAGAGCCATCACAGAGGCCGACCCACTCAACTACATTAACTGGTGTCATGAGTTTCACACTCTAACACACATGTGCCCAGCCTTACCAAGAGTGGAGCCTGAATTCAACAGATCAACTGCCAAAGGGCTGGAAGAAGGGTTTTTCCTTCAAAACATCAAGATCTAATTTATGTATTGTACAATAGTAAATACATTTTACTAGTGAGAGTCCTCCCATATGTCATCAGTTTTAATTTTATTTCATTTTCAAAGTCTGAGTATTTACTTTTAATCGGGGTATCAATATCATTCATAATTTCAATTTCTCCCCTCCTGGCAAGTCAATGAAATGCATGAAGTTGTGAATAGTCCACATCATGGACTATGATTGCTGATTCATTCTTATCATGACAATCAAAGCACCGGAAATGAAACCGAAGAAATAAAAGCTGGTTTCTAGGAGATTCATTTAAATTGTTTAGTTGAGTTAAACATCGTGGGCAACCAAGTGGTTTATCCTTAACTTTTAAAGAGATTCAGAACAGTTACGTTTTCTCTAATCTGGCTTGGAAATGCGAGGGGTGGAGGGGTAGTCAGGAGGGGTGGCATTCACAGTAAAGAGCGGGGAGTCACTTGGTTAACTTTTCTTGTCACACTGCTGTGGGGCCAGCCTGTGTCTTACCAGAAATTCTGAGTGCCTCTTCCTACGATTAAGTGAACATTTAATGACTGACTCTTAAAGAACTTTTACCAACCAAAAGACTGATTTGAAAATAGAAACTATACATTATTTTAAACAATTGAGATGTTAAGTTTAATAATGTTAATAGATGAATGCAATGTTAATCAAAAGCTGAACCTGTGGGCTTTCCAACAAAGAAATGTTAAACAAATAACAATACACTGGAGTTATTTGTTTTAACTTTTAATTTTTTGTTTTCTTAAAAGAATAAGAAAATGTTAAAAGCAGTTTGGAGTGATGAAAATGTATAATAATACCAAAAATAATTCACTCAGGATGACAAGTGGTGCCTACTCATAGATCAAATGTGTGAGTGGCCCACAGAAAACTTAAGCTTCCGATAGGCATCTATTTTTCATTTGAAAATAAAGGTTAAAATTGCAGGCGTATTTGGGGAGAAAATAACGCTGGCAGCTATAAAATGTTATTAAATAATTTATATCAAGGCTATTCCAACACTGGTAGGTGGATTTACAATCTTTTAAAACCACTAGAATTTGGGAATTTGAAAGCAAAAAATGAACAAACGAGGAAAAATAATCTTCTGGTGTCTAAAATATGATCTGGCAGTTTGTAATGAGTTCATGTTCCAAGCAAAGCATCAGCCAGCTTGAAATGTCAATCAATATTTTATGATGTTGTCATTATTTTTCACAGGGGCCCAAGAAACCCTGCTGACCCAGGTGTGGATTAATTACATCTAGTCAGCTTCAACAGCTTCCTTAACTGTCATCCTTTCCTTTTGCCTCTTTCCTGTTACACCTGCAACTTTTAGTTCGCCTCTCAATTTAGACTTATGCCCTTCACACGTTATATTTGCTCTTCAAAGAGAGGTCCCAACCTATTGCTTCAGATGTCTTGACATGTACACCTACCTGGATATTTATGGATACCACATGCTTATATTATTTCCAGAAGTATCTATAGGCTTTTTTATGTGTAATATTTAATAAAGGAATTTTCAGAGTAAGTTCTATTAAAAAGATAAAAGCTAAATTTAATTAAGTAATTCCAAACATAAGGGAACTAAGAACAACTCTGACAAGAGGTCAGGAAAACACAGTAAGAATATCAGATTGAAGGCTCCCCATCCACTTATTCATTAGCTTTTCTAACTGAATCTTTAATGGGAGGGCCCTCCTTTAGAGGTCAGAAGGAATTTGGTCCTCACTGTCTTCTGCCCTGTCATTTCATCTCAGACCAGGTTCCACTTAACCATGTTTATTCCAATATCAAGAACAGGCATTGAACTAAAAAATGTATAACTGAATGCGCAATGGCACTCTTGTAGTATAATCCGTACTCTTAAGCATTTTGTCAAAACAGGTACAATATATGAAAAACTTGAAGGGACACTCACCTGCCTCACAATTTTCAGTCACGAGCCCTTTATACAGGTGGTGGCTGAAGGAAATCTTTACATCTTCTCCTTCCATGTGAATGACCAAGAGACCCGTGGTTGTCCTGGCTGGAATGCCCTGGTCTGTAACTTTTAACTGCAGCCAGATAGGGAAGTATTCTGAAGATGGATTTTGCTGAAATTGAATTTCTCCTGTGTATTTATCAATAGAAAACATTGACTGGGTCTCTGCAAAACTAAAAACCACAGTTCCATTGGGCCCCAAGTCCAGGTCATCAGCTCTCACAATGACAGTTGTCTGGTTTGTAGGCGACTCGGGGGAAAGAAACACATCAAAAGGGTTCTGTTCCAAAACTGGATCATTGTCATTAACATCAGTGACATATACTTTTATAATTACAGTGGTGCTTCGTGAACCCTGGATGCTACAGTCTCTGGCCACAGCACTAAATGTATGCTGAGATCTGGCTTCACGGTCGAGGGTGTTGCTGGTTTTCAATGTGCCTGACATAGGATCAATGGTGAATGCACCAGAAGCCTCATCAGTCAGAAAATACTCAGTTTGCCCATTCAGGCCTTCATCCTTGTCCACAGCTGAAAGCACAAGAACCACTGTTCCCACTTCAGCATCTTCTCTCACAGAGGACTGGTAATAAAGTGTGGGAAAAGAAGGACTGTGGTCATTGGCATCCAAAACTCTAACTTGCAGGTGTATTACAGAGCTCCTAGGTGGATCTCCCAGGTCAGAGCACAGAATGACAAGGGTAAAATTGCTGATTTGCTCCCGGTCCAAAGCACGAGTGGTTGAGAGTTCTCCTGACATCTCATTTATAGTAAAGCACTCATCAGTATTTCCATCTATTAAAGAAAACAATTACAAATTCATTTGAATTGAAAAAGTAGCAGCTCTTTGCTAGCACTATCTATGGTATTCATTTATACATTCATTAAAAATATATTTATTCCCGATTATATTGTATCCTAGCACTTTTGTAAATATTGGGGATATAACAGTAAGCATGATAAAGGCTCTGCCCTCATGAAACTTCTATTGAGGGGATAAACAGAATAATATGATTCAATGCCTATCTTTAATCAGTCAATAATTAGAACACTTGCTTTCACTAATTTGCAGCCGTATGATTTTTTGTGTGCATCTACAACTTTTAATTTTAATATATTTTTCCTCATAAGAGGATGAAGATATATGTTTTATTTAACACAAAACAATAGATGAGGATAAAAAAAACAGAATATAATGTCCTTTTTTAAGATATCAATCAGAAATGAACAGATTTGATTTGTAGTTATTTTCTCAAATAGTACCCACTACAGTATTCATGCCTGTTATACTATTGCAGTAAGCCTTCTCTTCTACATGTCCACAGCATTTTGTACAAGAATCATAACACTTTGGTTAGAGTTAGTTGGACACTTGACTATTTCTTCCAAAACATAAATAAGGACATTGTTCTATTCATCTATTCCTTAAAAAAAATCTGCCCTTTATTATATTCCATCGTATCAAGTAGAATAAAACTTAAAATTGAACACAGGGACAAAAAGCTTTCAAAGACATTTTTAAATAACCCTGAAAATTAGTGAAGAAAAATGTGGTTCATATGCTTGCCAGCCATATTCTTGGATGAAGAGCAGGCCCAATAGTGTGGGAACTTACTAGAGTCTGCATATCAGAGGCATATGAGGACCAAGTGGAATGGCATTCAAAGGAAACAACAGCAATAGGTAGCTTTAGGGAGGAGGAGAGGGCCCTGCATTTGTATTCATGAGGAACAGTTAATTTACACCAAAAGTAGAGATGATTGGACAAACCCACATTTCTGTAGTATTTGTGGCTGATAAAGTGATTCAGTCATTCAGCAAACATTTGATGAGCATCTACTATGTGCCAAGTTTGTGCTCAAGATCACAGATATGAAGGGAGTAAGACATGACCTAGCTCCAAGAGTTCACAGTCTAAAAGGAAAGGCTGGTCAATACTCGGGTATTAAAGTACCATGTGAAAATCATATGTACAGAGTGCTAAATGAGTACATATAGATAGTGCTAGCCAAGGGGTGCTATTTCTCTGAGAAGTACAGAGAAAGGGCACATAGTCCTATGTTAGTAAGTTCAAGAAATGCTTATTGGAAAAAGTGACATCAAATCTCACTCCTAAAGTGGAGAAAGCCATACTACAAGTTTTGGGGAGAGTGTTCTATGCAGAGGAAAGAGCCCGTGGGAAGTTCTAGGAATATAAGAATTAACAGGCTGCAAATGTTTGGGTGTGACTAGTACACAGGGTTCCTGGGTGTTTGTATGTGGCAAGTAGGAAAAGGGCTGGCAGTAGCGGTAGAGGAAAGACATGAATTTGGGAGGTAAGCAGGGGGTCAAATTGTGAAGGGCTCTCTGTATACTGCTGAAGATTCTATAGTTTCTCCTGAAATCCATGAGGGAGCCCCCTGAAGGATTTTGGACAGGAAAGTGTCATGAATCAAATTTCTATTTTAAGAATAGTATCGAGGCAGCAATGTCAAAGTTTGTTTAGAAAATAGGATGGTTCCTGTAATCCCAGAACTTTTGGAGACCAAGGCGGGAGGATTGCTTGAGTCCAGGAATTTGAGTCCAGCCTGGGCAACATAGTGAGACCTCATCTCTACAAAAAAAAAAAAAAAAAAGTTTTTAAGTTATTCAGGCATGGTGACATGTGCCTGTATTCCCCGCTGCTCAGGAGGCTGGGGTGGGAGAATTGCTTGAGCCTGACAGGGGGTACAGGCTGCAGTGAGCTGTGATTGTGCTGCTGCGGTGAGCTGTGAATGCACCACTGCACAGCCTTGGTGACAGATCGAGAGCCTGTCTTTAAAAAAAAAGAAAAGAAAATGAAAATGGGAAGGTTAGGAGTCATAGTAATCTACTTGCGCAACAAGGGGTATCTGAAACAATATTTGCGTGCAGGAAGTGAACACATTGCAAAGATATTAAGGAGAAAAAATAAGTTATGGAGAAAGGATTCATGATCCGGCTTAGGCGAATAAGTGAAGGGTGTTTAGACCAGTCAATCATCTTTAAAATGAGGGCTGAGTACAGCTAGGTTACTTGAAGTTTTCTAAGGAATTCACTTGGAAACAGGTAGTTCTGTGGTAATCTCCAGAAGTTCAATTTAAATATCCTTATTCCTAAAATTGCTCTACCTGAGAGCTCACCTGGGATCATGGAATTTATCTTTCCCACATTCACCTTTATAAGCACTCTTCTTGCAAATTAAAAAAGAAAGTCTCCCTCTCACCCAAATAAATGGCTGCCAAATAAAGTGGTCATTCCCAATGTTGAAAGTTCAATGTCAAAACAGTGACTGATTTTAATGCCTGGGAAGATATCCTTATGCAGTGGGAGAGTGTCTCTGCTATCAACCAAATTATAGAGCCTATTCAAGTTTTCAAGTGGTAGATAAAGAAAAAATAAAGACTATTCATTAACTTTTTGGCATATAACTCAGAAGGCATACAAGTACTAAATTAACTTCTGTAACAATACTTCCATTTTTAAAAAGGTGAGCAAGGATTTTCAGTTCTTACATCTGTAACAAAGAGAAACAGCAACAGACTTGGCACTGTGCTTTGCCTTTTGCCTTATTTTTATTTATTTATTTATTTATTTTTATTTTTATTTTTTGAGACAGAGTTTCGTTCTTGTTGCCCAGGCTGGAGTGCAATGGCGCAATCTCAGCTCACCTCAACCTCTGCCTACCGGGTTCAAGCGATTCTCCTGCCTCAGCCTCCCGAGTAGCTGGGATTACAGGCATGTGCCACTGGCTAATTTTGTATTTTTAGTAGAGACGAGGTTTCTCCATGTTGGTCAGGCTGGTCTCAAATTAACTCCAGACCTCAGGTGATCTGCCCACCTTGGCATCCCAAAGTGGTGGGATTACAGGCGTGAGCCACTGCACCCAGCTGCTTTGCCTTATTTTAGCAAAAAGGAACATGCATTCCGAGAATCATGAACTCACTGGAAAAAAGGAACCCATTAATCTGATTCAGAGATGCATTTACAACACAATTTTACTTTTTATGTTATTATTGGTCAAAATTGGAATACACTTTTGCTATTTTAATCTTACAATCATAATAATAACAATCTAATATAATTTTCAAAACTGAGACCTTATGTTCATTGGAAATTTTTAGAAGTCTTAAATTTATCCACATATTTTAATTGTAGAAAAGTATAATAAAATGATCAATATTTTAAGCATAAAAGTCCATTACGTTATGGTAAAATTCTGCAAGGATGTAGAAAGGTAATATTGATTGAAGAAGTAAAAATGCAAAACATATAACTGAAAATGCTCATTCATACATATAATTGAAAAAAACTTAAGTAAAATTCTACATTTTTATTAACTTAAAAAAATCATATTTCAAACAGTAGAGTCTGTGAGCTATGAAAATTTACAATTCACTTGGCATTCCCAGCGCCTTGCGCTCCCTGTGACTGCGCTGTGCAGGCGTCTTGGTTTGTGCAGGGTGGTTCTCATCCTTGCCAGCATCCCCTTCCCCTTTCTCCCCTTACACACCTCACTCCCTTCTTTGCCGAGTTGTGGGGGCTGTTTTAGGCCTGGCTTTTGTTTTTGGAAGGGCAGGTTTAGCAGACAACCCTGCCTATCTCCTGTGTGGCTCCTCTATCACCTTTGCTGTGTCACCTTTTTAGCCGATTTCCTGGGCATGGTGGCTTGGCAGGCAGCTTTGCCAATCCAAGGTATGCTCTCTGCTCCTGGAAAGATTTCTGAGTCCCACAGCCATCCGAGGGCTACGGAGCTCCCAGTTTCCAACCTGGCTGAGAAGGTGGCCTCAGCTTGGGCAGAACAGGTGGAGACTTTGGGACCATGAAGAGACATGCAGAGCCAGGAAAGAGGAAGGTGACACAAGGGGAGGATGCCTTTCATATATATATACTTATATATATTTCATATATATATACTTATATATATACACACATATATGAAATATATATACGTGTATATATACACACATATGAAATATATATACGTGTATATATACACACATATATATGAAATAGATATACGTATACACACACACACACACACACACACACACACACCCACACACACACATATTTTTTTTTTTTTTTGAGACAAAGTCTCACTCTTTTCCCCCAGGAGGGAGTGCAATGGCACAATCTCAGCTCACTGCAACCTCTGCCTCCTAAGTTCAAGTGATTCTCCTGCCTCAGTCTCCCAAGTAGCTGGGATTACAGGTGCCTGCCACCACACCCAGCTAATTTTTGTATTTTTAGTAGAGGTGGGGTTTCACCATGTTGGCCAGGCTGGTCTCGAACTCCTGACCTCAGGTGATCCGCCCACGTTGGCCTCCCAAAGTGCTGGGATGACAGCCATGACCCACCGTACCTGGACACCTTTCATATATTTTTAAGGTTTTTTTATTCTATCAAATACTTTTAAAAGGTGATTGATATAACAGTCTTATTTTAATGTGTCAATATTTAGGATATGCTGGGAAACACACCTTTGTTACTCTTTAAAAAAAGTTTAGTTGACAACATAAAAATATGTCTGCGTACATAAGTTTTCAAGATTATTTTAAGGGTAAGTGAAGCAAAAAAAAAAAAAAAAAAAAGCTGAAGATCACTGGCAGAGACTAGCAGAAGGACCCAGACCATGATGGGGGAGGTAGAAAGGGGGTGAGGCTGATGTGTCATTTTGGACACACTGATAATGCAATGCTGTTGGATATAAAGACTGGGTCCTTGGGGCTGTTAGGAAATTGTGAAATAATTTGAAATAGGAGGAACAAGGTTAGTAGGTGTCCTGGTATTGAAGAAAGAAGGGTGGGGCACAGGTGTCCAGTGTGTCTTTGCCATCAGAATGTTCTTCCACCTTCACCGCATTTTGACCACTCTGTAAATTGTTGAAAACTGATAATAATGTAAATGATTCTTATCCACAGAAATGCAAGTAAATCTGGTGAAATGCACTGATTGTTGTCTTGCAAATACACCTTTTCTGCATTTCAGAATTCCTTATTCCCTTTGTGTGTGTATGTGCCTGTGTATGGCTCTTGGAATTCTCCTTGAACCCATTTTAACATCTTTTTGGTTTACTTATTCATTAGTGAATTAAATAAAAGTTATTCGCAGGTACCATTTTTATATTTGTATGAGAGTTATTACTTTACTTTTAAAAACAATATCCTTTAACGGGACCTAGATCTAGGATGCAGATGGAGATGGGAGCCATTGGCATCCCAGTGGTAGCTAAAGACAGAGACTGGATGAAATGACCCAGTAAGAATCTGTCTATGAGACAAGAAAAATTAAAAAAAATTAAAACTGATCACATGAAAGCAACAAAAATAGAAAAACACTATCTTTTCCATCCTTACATCCACTAATGTTAGCATAGAAAAAAATTCACAGCAGTTTGCAAAGGCAGATTTTTAAAGAATGTGGAGAGCAGTGGTTCAAGGTGGCTGTGAGAAGGAGGTAGAGAGAAAGCTCATGGCACCAGTCAGTTCTGACTGGGTGTGTATTTTGTAGAGAAAAGCAACAGGTATCAAACACAGAGTAATCAACAGAGAGTGTGTGTCAACTCAGTCAGCATCCTGGAATAAATTTTAATTTAAAAATACTTACCAATTTGGGAGGCTGAGGCACAAGAATTGCTTGAACCTGGGAGGTGAAGTTGCAGTGAGCCATCGCGCCACTGCACTCCAGCCTGGGTGACAGAGTGAGACTCTGTCTTAAAAAAACAAACAAACAAACAAACAAACAAACAAACTTACCAATTATGTGATATTCAACAGCTCTGTTATTGCCAGCATCCATATCAGAGGCTAAAACCGTATAGACAACCTCTGGTTCCTGGTTTTCCAGAACCTCAATGTCATAACTGGAAACAATAAACTCTGGTGCGTGATCGTTTTCATCTTCAACAGTGCAGAGGATTGTTGTGGTGCTGGACAATGAAGGGAATCCCCCATCTCGTACTAGTACTGACACAGAACACAAAGACGGTATGAATTGTGGCCTTTGATTCATACCTAAAATATGTTGTTCTAACTAGACAATGTCAGGCTAACCAGGTAGCACTGGCTCAATAATATTTTATTTAAAAACACCCCAACAAAATATAACATTTCACCACTTAACAGGTTTTTTTTAAATTTAATTTTTAATTTTTATTTTTTAGCCTACTCAAAGAATCCCTTACCTCGAAGGGTGAAGACTTCTTGAATTTCTCTGTCAAGTATGGTGGTTGTCACTACCTCTCCAGTGTCAGAATTTATCTCGAATAATTCAAATGAAGCACCTGGCATGATTTCAAACTGAAGCTTGGAATTGACTCCTTAAGAAAAATATAAAGAAAAACTTAGCAATCATTTCTTTGAAATACATTTATCCACTTTCCTATTTCTTTTCCTTTGAACATGTTAGGCCATAGATGAAAATGGCAAGATTCTCAAACAGCCTTTAAATTAAGGTAAAAGAAAACCTCTTTTGGCTGTTCTTGCTAAAATAAAAGCCTCATGGGCTGAAATGCTTGATTTTCAAAAGTCTTATGAGACTTCCCCACAGTGAATGCTTAGAATTTTTTCCTTCCCATAAAAAATTTCTTATGAGTGTGCAACTCTACAACATATTCCTAATTACTCCTTCTAACACCTCTGATTGTGATTTAATGACTTAATTGTAAGCTTGCAGGGCAAATGACAATTTCTGTAGATTGACCTGCTGTTTAAAAGCCCGTGCTAAGTTATAGAACTCTGTTTATTCTCAACCTCAAGAAGCGAGCACCTAGAATTGCTTATACACGTATTTCTGTTTGTTTTGTTTTCGACTTAGTGTTCAGTCTGCTATCTGGAGTGAGAAATGTGGTACCACATTATTATGCATTTTGGAAATAATTCTTCCCATATTTTTGTGGTTTCATTTCTCCCCTGAGAAAAGTATCACGTCATTTCCATCTCTGGTTATGAAGATCATTCATACTACTAATTTTAATGAGTCTGTCCCATGCCATTGTAATTTATTGCATTTTACACAAGTTCCTCTCAGTTATTTTCCTATGTTCCTTTCTTAACTGACAAGAATCTAGGTGTACACACAGTACTGAGAATATATGATGTTATACTTTAATAAAAGACGAAATGTCATTCTTTTGGCCTTAACAAAAAATCTTCAATTACAAATTTCCATCTTGCCAGTCTTAAAAAGTAAATTTTCATTACATTATGATCTGGCAGATATTATATAGGACTGAGAGCTGAAAGGAGTGAAATAGAATTCTAGTTTTATATAAGAATGAAAATACATATCATATTACTATATAACTTGGAGGAGAAATATATTTGAGATATAATCTGCAGGCATTGGAATGACCCTGAGAAAAAAAGTCTAATAACATAGGACCAATGTATTTGATATGACATGGTCAGAGGTCACCAAAATGTTTCATTCTATTATTAGGCATTACGTATATTATTAATGATATTACTAAAGAGTCATAGTGATTATTTCAGTAACTTAAGGATCATATAATCTATTCTATAGCAAGACAGAATTTCTTAAAGTTCCAGGTTGTTAAAATTTGTTATTCCTATCTCTGCCTACATTATAAAAATGGGAACAATATTATCTTATATTTACTTTCCTTTTCCTCAAAAAAAAGAGAGAAATATCAGGTGCCAAGCATAGTACTATGTGCCAAAGACAGAGTGCTGAGTCAGATATGACCTCTGTCTTCAAAAAGATTACATGGATCTTTTAAATGAATGAGCTCATTTATATGATTTTGTTACACATTATATATACACCATTTCATATTATTTTATATGATTTTCTTACACATTATATATACCATTGCATATTATGTATTGTATTACATATTATAGAATGCTATATATTATACATTTTTAATTCTCACCACTTGCCAAACCTAGAAAATGTCTTCAATTGTTTACACATAAATTCAGATCTTTCTGCTGTCCCTTCCCATTATCCTCTAATGTGCTTCACCACTCTACTCAATATTTCTCTGACTTTTTAGAAACTTCCAGATTTTATTTTGTTCTATTATTCTATACAGGTTTTTTATCCCTAAGATAACAATACATTAACCTTCAACCCTCCTAGTATATTATTAAGGATAAATAAGATCTTTACCTATAACTGTAGTCTGCATACACACATTTTTCATACCCCAAACTTCATACCCTTTACAAATTAGGAAGTAAATTAAATGTATTTTACTATGGCTTATTTGGAATTTAACTAGTGCCTTGCACCTTACACCCTTACACCCTTATAATCCTACAGAACAAACATAGCATCATCAAACTTGAGAATTAAGAAAATAAAAATTAAAAAGAGGTTATTTGGCCTCATTCTATCACCTCACTGAGCAAATTGGAAATTTGGATCTGAAGATATTTAGTGATATCCTTATGACACATGCCCACTAAAAGATATGTGTGTGTGTGTGCCTGTGTATATATGCCCATACCTATGTGTGTATGCACACCAGTGTGAATACACACATACACAGATGTGCGCGCGCACACACACACACACACACACACATATCTACCTTCTCTTAGACTTCAAGACCTGCAGTCCCATGACTTCTTAATCCTCCGGCTCTAGGATACCTCTCCTCAATTCATTTCTCTCCTTCTCCAGTCCGGCCCCATGAGCTATTCCTCTAGCAACCTTGCATAGTTTCTCAGGTCCTGGGGCTTTCTGCCAAAGATTTCCAGCAAAGCTTCAGCCTGGGATCATTCCAACCATCTCTTTACTCCATTTGAATATCCAACAGATGGCTGGGGCTACAGAAAATTTCACAACAGCATGGATTGAGACAACTGCAGTGCTGTTGTATCTGGCAATCTTTCCAGGTGTCCATAATCACCCCTCTTCCATTCAGGTCTCCTACCCGACCACTACCTGGCTTACTCTCACAGATCACTTCCCTTTCCATTTCCCAGAGAGAAAGGAGGCATTGGGAAAGAACTCCCTCACCCTCTGCACCTGTACTCAACTGTACCCCTTACTCCCTGTCTCAATGGCAAAAGTCATTCTTCAAACACACTCTCAGAATTTTCCTGTCAGGTCTAGTCTTTCTCCTAAAATTTTTTTCCTTAAATTATATCCTTCTCTAGCTATAAGAAGAATTAGGCTTTTATCTCCTCCTCTTTGTGGCCAAATTTCTTTTGAAAATCATATTCAGTCTGCAGCTAGCTTCAAACCATGCCATTGCCAGTTACTCTTTCTACAGTGACCAATGACCTTCTGATTATAAAGTCTACTGGCCATTTCTAGTTCTTACCTAACTTGTCTTCTCTGTGGCATCATATATGGCTGACCAATTTAAAAAAAAAAAACAAAAAACAAAGAAACAAAAGAAGGGAGGGGAGGAAGGCATGAGGAAGAGAGAAGTAAAAAATAAAAGAAAAATAATATTTTTGTCTGTTTCTCTATGACATATTTTTCTCCTGGTTCCAGGAGTGGGGTGCATTGACAATCAATGTGCTGGCCATCACGCCATTGTCATCTCACTCTATACATTCATGTCTTCAGTTTGCATCCATATCTATTTGGTTGGTTCATTCATTTATTCATTCATGTGTTCATTTATGAATGCACAGATACTGAATGTCAGGTACTGGAAAGGCACCACTGAATAGTTACCTTGGACCTCAGAGTTTCTCTCTAGAGTGGAAGATGATTAAATCAACGAGTAATGGAAAGTGTGATGGAATATATGAAATCACTGAGGGAGTGGATCATAGAAGACTTATCTCAGGTATATAGTTTGTCATTAATTATCTCATTGTATTAACATATATAAAGAGTGATCTTAGGTGCCAAGATACCATACCATGTGCTAAAAATATAACTGCTAGTAAACAGACAAATTCTCTACCCTCATGGTGCTTACAATATAGCACCGGATACAGATAAGCAAGCTCGCAGTGACAATTCCCCCTGAATAGACATGATGGGTAAGTTGAGTTGCCTTGATATAACCGGAAACCCTAAAGATGAATAGGAGTTAATGGGTAAGAGGGAAGAAAGAACATTTGAATGAGTTCAAAAGAAAATCTAAATACCTTACCACAGTCCACAAAGTCCCATATGATGTGGGCTCTGCATATCTTTCCAACCTCTTTTCATGGACTTGCTCCCTTGCTATATTCTTATCGCACTGGCTTCCTTTCTGTTCTCTGAACATACTAAGCATCTTTCTGCTGAGGCCTTTGTAGTGGTTGTTCCCTCTGCCTGCTCTTTTCAGTTCTTCACATGGTGTATTATTTATTAAACCATAGTGTCTCAGATCCAAATCTGTTCTTCTGTACTCCACCCTGTGATGCTGGGTCTGGGGATCTGCAAACTACATTCCCCATTGCCAACTACCTCTCTCCTAGGGTTTGCCACAAAAGGACACTAGAAGGAGACCAAAAGTCAGAAGGACAGAAAATGGGACTTCCTTCTTCCTAGTTACCTACTGTCGTCATCAGCAATGCTATTCAGTCTGTTTTGCTACTCCTTTGCAAGGCCCCCTCTCTCATTTCCTTCCCAGGGTCTGATAATCCAAACATCTTCTTCTTTCCCAGTATTAGGGGTGGTAGCTGCCTTCTAGAGCTTTGTTTTTGTCTTTTTGGTTACTTCAGTATTCCCTTCTTGCTTACTCATTCATCCAACACCTGTTTGTAGCATCTATTCTTCCTGACTAAACATGGCTGATAGAGCACTTGGCACCAGAATTGGGTCTCAGGTAACAGGGACTCTGAGATTGGTTTGGTTATGTCTTAGGCTTTGAATGCAGCTATGAGTTCCTTAACCATGGGAAATGGAATGCTAGGAATTCAATACTTGGAGTGCTGTCACGATTAATTAAATTATCAATCATGTTTGACTGTGATAAAGTGACTATTAAAGGACTCAAATTCCTTAGAGAACCAAATGGCGCTGACTTTGACCACATAATAGTAAAAAGGACTATGATGCAGAAGACTGTTTTTCAAAGGACTAGGAAATTATAGAACGATAACTATGAGCTGAGGCTTTAAACCTGTAACTCAAGTCATGGTTAGAAAGCTGGAAAGCTCCTATATAGAAGGCCTAAAATTAACCTCCCTGAAGATCAGACCCAAATTGAGTGGCAGGTATAATAAATACCTTGTAAGGAGATGACTATTCATGTAAATACCCATAACCAGAGTCAGATTTCAACATAACTCAGGTAGCCAAGTGCAAATCTGACTCAGTCAAAGAAGCTTATAGTTTCAAAGAATAATAATATTTTCTAAGTTATATTGGCATAAACCTGGGGAATATGTGTGGAAATCAGTTCTAAGAATGTGAGACCTAGGAAGATATAACATTGGTTTAGGCTGGATTTATTGATAGATAAATAGACAATATTGATACTGTTTGCTAGAGAGTCAGAATTTAATGTGTTAGCCCATAGAGCTGTGTCTCTTGAGAGTTTCTTTGATTGGTTGGATTCAATGGGAGCCTATAATCACTGAGGTTGAGACATTAGGTCTTCTTTTGAATACTATAAATAATCCAAAGCTTAAGGAAATGAGAATGTTAGAGTGAACTTATCATGTATGACATGCTCACCAAACACTCCCACTACCTTTCCCAAGAGATCAGAGGACCCTACCTTCATAAGTACACTGGGAAAGATATTAGAAGGCCATCAGCATCCTTGAAAAGCAGAATGGGTGCTGTTTTCTGTAGACTGGGGATGGATCATGGTGCCAATGGTCCCAGGGACCACCTTTTGAGAAGCAACATTTGATACTAATTTATAAGAACTATCAGAACTCATTGGCTTTCACCCATCTTTATGCAAACTCTCCCACTGTTGACATCATCTAGTTGGTAGAGATATTATGATGACATCATGATAATTGGATCTGATGAGCAGAAAGTAGCAAGTAACTTAGATGTCTTAATTAGACACATGCATTAGACTAGGGATTGGCAAACTACAGTCCAGTGATCAAATCTGGCCTGCTCCCTGTTTTTGTAAAGTTTTATTGAAATACACACAATATTAACTATGGCTGCTGTCTTGCTATAGTGTCAGAGTTGCACAAAGGAGACCGTAAAGCACACAAAGCCTAAAATATTTACTATCTGGTCCTTTAAAGGAAAAAGTTTTCCAGAATTCTATCCTAGAGTAAAAGGTGGGAGAGTGCTAGGAGCTGAGAACAGACAGGAAAGCTGATTGTTAAGCTAAAAGGGATAAAATTTTATCCTCCTCTTCCTCAAACTATGGGGATTTAATAAAGAATTCTTTCCAGGGGTGTGTTATTTTTAGGAAGATCATTTTTCTTTTCTTTTCTTTTTTTAAGACAGCATCTCACTCTGCCACCCAGGCTGGAGTGTGCAGAGGCACAGTCGTGGCTCACGGCAGCAAATTCCTGGGCTCAAGCCATCCTTCTACTTCAGCTTCCTGAGTAGCTGAGACTACAGGAGCATGCCACCATACCCAACAAATTTTTATATTTTTTTTTGTAAAGGTGAGGTCTTGCTATGTTGCCCAAGCTGGTCTTGAACTCCTGGCTTCAAGCAATCCTCCCACCTCGGCCTTCCAAAGCACTAGTATTACAGGCATGAGCCACCGTGCCCAGCCAAGATTCTTGTTTGTATAATGCCTCGACTGTACAATGTCCTCACAATCAGGCATTTCTAAAGCAAAAATAGAATTATGCCTGGTTGATTGAATAAAGGAATAAATAATAAATAAATTCTAAACAGTGAGGGCAGCTTGAGGAAGCTTATGTCATACATGCTTCAGTTTCTCAGACCATATGGTCAAAAATATTTATTGAGTTCCTATGTCATATCTTGCACTACTCTAAGAACCTGGAATAAATGTATTAATAGATAAAAAGTGCTGAATCCAGGAGAAGTTCACAGCCTAGAGAAAAAGCAGGTGAATAAACATTTACACAATTATAATACTATATATTAAATGTATTAAGAATATATACCAAAGTTTTAACAGTGATTGTCTCTGAGTGAGTGAGGTTATGACTGGTCCTTATTCTTTTTCATCTCCTTATTTTTGATATTTATGCAAATATATTTATAATAGAATTTTTTAATATATATATAGAGAAAATTTATATAGAGAGAGCCAAGGAAAACATAACAGCACTAAGGGATTAGCAGAAATACTGCAGCCTAAGTAGGCGATGGCTTCAATTAGCATGCTGTTGTGACTTTCTCTAGCAAATGTTCCATAGCTTTGGATTGGGAAATTCAACTTTTGAAATGCTCTATAATCTAACCCGCCTTTAAATCCTTCTCTGGGACTTCAGTATAATCGAGGTTGCTGGAATGGCACAAAGCCAGTAAGATCGGCTTGTGCTTGAATCCTATGGATCTCCTTATGTGCCCCTGGATTAATTAGATTGAATCTAAAATGATGGACAAATGCCACTGGGGAAAGAATGACGGGGCACGTCAATGAATAACTACTAATAAAGTGCAGAGAGACCCAGCGCTGTGACTCACAACTGTAATCCCTATACTTTGGGAGGTGGAGGCTGGAGGATGGCTTGAAGCCAGGCATTTGAGGCTACAGTGAGCCATGATTGGGCCACTGCCCTCCAGCCTGGGGAACAGAGCGAGATTCCGTCTGTATAAAAATAAAACACAAATAAATAAAAATAAAGGATCAGGGATATGTTCTCTTTAAATGAAGTACGGAGGAAAGTTGATGGATATTTTGCCTGAGTATATGATACAGAGAAAATATCACTCCATAAAGAAACATTTAAAATAAACTGAATAGCCAGATAGTATTGTCCACTCGAATGAGAAATTGTTATTACAAAATGCCATAGATTCAGATATTTTAGCATCCTTATCCTTTATTCTTTGATATACACACAAATAAGTCACCTTCTAAAGGGTATACAGAATGGCACCTTATAACTTCCTATGAAGATAAAGCTATCAGCCCAGTGGAAGTATTCCAAAATTAGATGCATCTTACAATTAATGGTGTCTTAGATTTGATGAAATAAGGTGTTTCTCCCTGGCTCCAAGTGTAGACTTAGGCGGTGCAGTTGTACACCTAGTGCAGCACCAGGGATTCCAGAAAACCAGATGTAGTTTATTGAAGATGACCCCAGAAACAGAATACATTCTTATGGAATAGAGAATAACATCCACTAATGAATTCTATATTTCAGTGTGGCAATATACTGTTAAGTTATTTTACGTTTGACACCTTTGAGCGAATGTGAGTGGTATTCCCAGTGGGGCACCCTTTCCTCTTGGGAGTGGGGGAAGGGCACTGCAGGGGGAGCTCTTTTTTCACTAACAATGGCGCTCTTGTTGATGGCACCAAATGCTGCAGCAGTTTTAATACCTTAGTTAAAATCTGGTAGTTGTTTTTTCCTTTTGATACAAGAAGAAACTCCTGCTAGAGCTAATGTGAGTCATATACCATAAACATTCAGTGCTCAAATCCCTGTGGGCTTTGAATGCCAAATAACACTGTATACTTACATTTTTAAAAACTGCATCGTAGAATGCTAGAAAACACATGTTAAGCTCTCTAGTATTAAGGAACACTGTGGTATTTTTTTAAAAAAATACGTACTATAAAGTAAACCATTCATAAATTCCAGTGTAATGCCAGTTATGTTAAAATCTTGACTAAGTCATTTAATTCTCATGCATAATCCTGTTTCATTGTTTTAACCCAATAATCAAAAAAGAAAAAAAAAGATTGAGGGAAAATATATTCGAAAGTACGTGCATACACACAAATATTCACATGTGTTTACATAACCACCTACTTAACAGACCTGGCCTCATTAAAAACACTGAGATTTCCAGTAAATCAAAATTGTCTCCAAAATATGTAAGGTTACATGAGACTCATGAAGATGTTAATGTGTATTTCAATCATCCATTAATTCAGAAAAACAATAATTTTGTACCTAAATTCTCAGTTGGCATACCATAATCTCTAGAATAATAAAGTTTCAATTCAATTATAATTAGCAGGTTGCAGATAATTCATTCTAAATGAAAATAACATTAACACTGGGCAACTTGACAGTAAAAATCAGAAGAATATATTTATGGTAATTTTCTTTGGTTAATATATGCAAATTTTGAGAGAAATTCTTTTCTCCCTCTTCAAGCATTAAAGCAAGAGGAGCCTTTTTAGTAGAATCCATTACAAAAAAATAAAATTCATAAAATAAAGCAAGGCCAAAGGGAGGAAGCATTTTACATACCTTACTGTTTGCAAAATCACACAACATCAGCAATAAGTTCAGTATATGTCTATATACTTTGGGAAGTAGTTTTTGCATTGCTCAGCACCCTGTATTGCTCTGTTTCTACAGAGAACACTCTAAGAGAACTTTACTGAGCTAAAATTATTGTGAAACACAAAGCTTATGTATATTCTTCATTGTTTCTGACACCCTAAAAATGAATACTGCCAAAAACGTACTAAGTTCTAAGGACAGATTGGAGCAAACAATCGTTAGCATGCTTCGGACTCAACTCTTAGAAAAACTCTTTGATCACACTGCCCCACTCCGGTCAAAGACAGAAAATTGGGTTAGCCCTTGAAAAGAGTGTTAGTAACATCACATACAAATTCATGTAAAATGCATTTCATTAAAAGACAGTGTTTTCCAAGAGGGCAAAGTATTCAAATATTTTATAATTTACTTTAAAATTTCAAGTAAATGTATCTTTTGCCCCTTAAATTAACAATGTACAAGGAAATGCTATTATTAATACTATTTCCATAAAAATATCTATTACAATTCTTGCAAAAATATAACAAAATATTACATTGATATATAATGCCATTTGCTATATACAAACGTAAATTTTAAAAGACCGGATTATTAAGGTGAACTAACACGAATAGTTTATATTCATATAATATTCATATTTACATTAGTTCAGTGTTTCACATGTGAATGGGAATATAAACTATTCATATTAGTTCAGATGGAAAAATTCAGCATGTGCTGTGAATAAGAAACACAGCACTGTAATTTTTGTAATTATTTTGTTTAAGATAAAAACAGAATATGGTTAAAGTTGCTGAACCTTAGTTGCCAAAACAGCCACAGTGATGTTGAAAAGCAAGTCTAAGAAATTTATAAATTCCTAGCCATAGTAATTGTTTACTCCGAAGTCATTTGTCTGGACATAGTGTTTGAAAATAGTAAAAATAGTAACAAAGTTAACATATTGACCATTTATTGTGTCAGACACTGGTCTAAGCTCTTTACAAGTAATAATTCATTCATACTCATAACAAACTATAATTTAGGCTCTGTTATTATCTCCATATCACAGATAAGTAGGGAAATAGAAAGAATTAGTAACTTGTTCAAGGTCACATGGCATAAGTAAATGGTAGTTTTGGATTCAAATCTAGGCAGTCTGACACCAGCACCATGCCTCTTCCACTATGCTATATATACAGAGGAAATAAAGAACCATTTATCTTCTTCTTCTTCTCAATGTATCTAACTATTATACTCTGAAAGAAATGTGATGCTTTGTCCATACTTCGATTATCAAGATCAAATCAATAAAGTGTATGTTAATAAGGTGTGTATCACCCTAATATAAATAATAATAAAGTTAATACAAGCAAATCTTATGTGATATATCTGTATCTTTACAGGTGTATGTGTTTCTGTGTGGATGCAAATGAAAGAAGTATTACAAATTTGAGATAACTAGCAACTGTTCATTTTTTCTGAGCCATAACTATTATAAATTACGTCAATTATAATCTTCAATTTCTTTTAAGCATTAAATACCCAGTTTCTGTATTTCTAAATTACCTGAATCTCTGTCCAGAGCTTCAACCCTGGTAACAAACTCCCCTGGATTTTGGTTTTCTTTCACTGAGGCTTCATACAGGTGCTGCTTAAATACTGGAGCTTCATCATTTACATCAAGAACAGTAACTGTCAAAGTCTGGGATGAAGAAAGTGCTGGTGTGCCATCATCCAGTGCCAGAACAGTCAGAATATGCTGAGTTTTCATTTCATAATCCAAAGGACAGGTTGTGGTTAGTAAGCCTGTTTTGAAAATGGAAGAAAAGCAACATGTAATGAATATTCTTTAGAGAAGTCATGCTTACTCCACTTATATCTAACTTGTCTACCTAATAAAAATTCAGAAGTCTTAACTGCTAAAATATGAACTGCATTAAATCATCTTTAAATGTATACACTATCTACAATTAAAAGCAAACATTTTTAGTCAGAAAAGTCATCTCAATTTAAATTATATCAAACAAAACAATTCAAGAATAATCAATGTTATGCAATTATCTACTGAGAGGATTACATTAAAATTCTCTAGCCAACATCTACCTCCCTTTTAAAAAATATCTAGGATACTAACAATATATATCATCTTCATGTCACATAACACCTCATGTATAAAAGCGACCAAGTTACAAAAATGTGGGTATGGCTATATTCTTTAAGACGGTTGATTTTTGTTAAAGAATTATGCTCTCTTAATATTTATTCTCAGTTAACTGGATTTTTTTTAACAATAAAGAGCAGGCCAGGTGTAGTGGCTCAGGCTGGGTGTGGCGGCTTACACTTGTAATCCCAGCACTTTGGGAGGCCAAGGCAGGAGGATCACTTGAGGTTAGGTGTTCAAGACCAGCCTGGCCAACATGGTGAAACTCCATCTCCTCTAAAAACACAAAAAACTAGCCAGGCATGGTGGCGGGTGCCTGTAATCTCAGCTGCTCGGGAGGCTGAGGCAGGAGAATCACTGGAACCTGGGAGGCGGAAGCTGTAGTGAGCTGAGATCGTGCCACTGCACTCTAGCCTGGGCAACAGAGCAAGACTCCATCTCAATAAAAAAGAAAAAAAAGCAAAGATGTTATAACTCAGACAATACACTTCACAAGTAAAATGTGTCTCTATCCCACTGCCATTTAAGCATATAAACCACATAAGTCAGATGTAATACATACTGGCACACAGATAGCCATTATATGATTCCAATTATCACATTTTTCTTTTAGGATTGCTGTTTGCTTCTCCCTTTTATAAGAATTTTTCTTGAAATAATGAAAGAAGTTTACGGAATTCTATTTTATAAAATAATTTTTCAATAATTACTCATCACTTTATATTTCACAGCCATAGCCACAAAAAACTCACTGTCTTCTTTATAAGAAATATGAGTTTTGTGAGAGAAAAAAATCCCATCTCATATGAATGCATTTGGCAATTATCATTTTATGTCTTTGAAAAACATCTCCATTGAAACAGTCACTGCAATTACTCAAGAGATTCACATTACCTATATTACCAAAACACAAGTTTAATTTTATCCATTCTTTTTAACAATCTGAAATATACCTTTCTTAGCCATCTTGGAACACATTCCAAGTATTACTGAAACAGGTCCTTGGAGAGCCTCAGCTCTAACAGATATCAGCAGCCTGTGTCTGGACTATTTCTCTGTCAGTTGGGCATTTAGGTGGTGTCCATGCATGCCTCAGAATGAAACCACATGTACAAGATTTAATAAATATTTTGATGAAATTTTCCAACGGAATATAGCCAGACTATAATCATGACTTCCAAATCCTCCACATTTAACTCCATTCCAAATAATGCTTTTAACTAACAGTTGGGCCAAATGGTGTATATCTGAGATTTTTTTCATTCATGTAGAAATAACTTTATTTTTTAGTGAATAAGATGAGAGTTTATTAATTTTTCAATATTCCCTGAAAATCAGGTAGGAGGTTCATTTTTAAAGTCATAAGACTGAAAATTTGTACATTTACTCTTCCATCAAACTACATAAAAAACATATAATAGATGTTATCTAGCAACATGGTGACAGCAAGACAAGTAAAGTTGAGGGTGAGTGACATTTCTGCAGAGTACCTGACAGTGAATAAATGCTTCTTCAAAAAAAGAAATGTTACAATTGATGTGAAAAGCAGGGGTCTTAATGTCCAAATGAATTCAGCCATTAAAAATATATATTATTTCCAATATTTACGAATACATGTTTGTATAATCTCAAAGATAAATTTCCATACTAAAGTCTTTGAACAATGCTGTTGATTTGTCATACTGCTACCTGATTCACTATTGGTACCATATCCTACCCTGCAAGGACTCACAATGGGGGCAAAGAAGTTTTCTGTTGTGTATTCAGCCCATAGTGTCAGCTAGCTACAGAGCATAGTTAATATTAACAAACAGGACCATTAAAGTTAGTTCTCCAAATACAAACCCTGTGTCTATTTTATATATATATGCATACGTATATATACGTTATATAAGTATATACATATATACATATATAAGTTAAACAACAGAAGAAGTCAAAAATATTTAAAGCATATGTATCTTAAGAACCATCATTTTAAGAGAAAAAAAAGAAAAAGTTAAATATAAGCAAGCGATGAGAGGGTTTAATTGAAAGTGGCAGGAAGAGAAATGAAAGTCATCCAAATCAGAAAGAAAGAAGTAAAATTATCCCTGTTTGTAGATTACATGATCTTATATATAGAAAATCCTAAAGACTCCACCAAAAAACTGTTAGAACAAATAAATTCAGAAAAGGCAGGATACAAAAATCAGTTGCATTTCTATACACTAACAAGGAACTGTCTGAAAAGGAAATTAGAAAAACAATTCCATTGACAATAGCACAAAAAGGAATAAAAGAAAACAGGGATAAAGCTAGCTGAGGAGGTGAGTACCCTACATATTGAAAGCCACAAAACAATGATGAAAGAAATTAAAGAAGATACAAATGGAAAGACATGTATGTTCATAGAGTGAAAGGTCTAATATTATTAAAATGTTCATACTACCCAAACTGATCTACAGATTCAATGCAATCTCTACCAAAATCTCAGTGGCATTTGTTGTAGAAATAGAAAAAAATAATATCGCAATTCAAATGGAATCTCAAAGAACCCCAAAGAGTGAAAATAATCTTGAGAAAGAACAAAGCTGGAGGCATCACACTTCCTGGCTTTGATATATTACAAAGCTACCATAATCAAAACAGTATGGTATTGGCATAGGATAAACATTTAGGCCAATGGAACAGAGTAAAGAGCCCAGAAATAAATCCACCCATATATGGTCAATTGATCTTCAACAAGGTTTCCAATACTACACTTTCGAAAAAGGCTAATCTCTTCAACAAATGATGTGGGGAAACCAGATATCCACATGCAAAAGAATGAAGTTGTATCTTTATCTTACACTATACAAAAATAAAACAAAATAAAATGGATTAAAGACTTAAATGTAATACCTGAAACTATAAAGGTCCTACAAGGAAACACAGAGGGGAAAGCTTTGTGAAGTGGGTCTTGGCAATTATTTCATGGGTAGACAACAAAAACACAGATTACAAATCAAAAATAAACAGGCGGATTACATAAAATTAAGAAGCTTCTGCACAGCAAAGAAAAAGGCAACCTATAGAATGGGAGAAAGTATTTGTAAATCATCTATCTGATGAGGGGTTAATATCCAGAATATATATAAAAAAACTCCTACAACTAAACATAAAAAAACCCTAATTTTAAAATGGACAAAAGACTTGAATAGAAACATCTCCAAAAAAGACATACAAATGGCTAACAGGTATATGAAAAAATGCTCCATGGCACTAATTATTTGAGAAATGCAAATCAAAACCACAACGAGATATTGCTTATACCTGTTAGGATGGCTGTTACTAAAAAAAAAAAAAAAAAAAAAAAAGACAACAAGTATTGGTGAGGGCGTAGAGAAATTGGAACCCTTGTATACTGTTGGTGGGAATTCAAAATGTTACAGCCACTATGGAAAATAGTATGGATGTTCCTCAAAACATAAAACTATAACTACCATATGGCCCAGCAACTCCACTTTTGGATATTTATACAAAAGAATTGAAATCAGGATCTTGAAGAGAGAGTAACACACCCATGTTTACTGCAGCACCATCCACAATAGCTAAGATGTGGCAACAACCTAAAAATGTTAATCGGCAGATGAATGGATAAAGAAAATGTGGTATGTGCATACCATTGAAGACAATTCAGCCTTAAAAGAGAAAGACATTCTACAAGATGTGACAGTATGGATAAATCTTGAGGACATTTTGCTAGGTAAAATAAGCCAGTCACAAAAAGACAAAACTCCATTATTCCATTTACATGAAGTATCTAAAATAGTCTAATTCATGGAATCAAAGAGTGCAGTGGTGATTGTCAGAGGCTGGATGGAAGGGAAAATGGGAGAAACTAAAGTTTCAGTTAAGCAAGGTAAATAATATCTAGAGATACGCTGTGCAACATTGAACTCACAGTCAACAACAATGTATTGTACACTTAAAACTTTGTTAGGAGGGTGGGTCTCATGTTTTCTTACCACAATAAAATAAAATATTTTTAAAAGTGACATATAGGGCACTGTACCTGATGACTCATCTAGCATAAACGTCATGTTTTCATTTCCTGAGAGGATGCTGTATGTTACTTTTCCATTCCTTCCTTCGTCTGGATCGTGAGCAGTTATGTGGTGGACCAAGGAGCCCACTGTGACATCCTCTTTGACATGGGCATTGGGGAAAGAAATAAAAGTGGGGTTGTGGTCATTTACATCCAAAATCACTATTTGTGCTGTCAGTGATCTCAGTCGCCGGTCTGTCACATTCACAGCCTGATCAGATGCTGTTACTGTCAGGATGACAGTTGGAATGCTTTCTCTGTCAAGACGGGACACAGTGACTAGTGTGCCAAATGAGGGGTGGATGAGAAATGGATTCGTGCCAGGGTTGTGGGATTCAATGTAGTATTGTATTCTACTGTTCAAAAAACTGCCGTCATCATCTTTGGCATTGAAGACATACACCAGGGTTCCTATGGGAACATTCTCCTCTACACTGATCACAATGAGCTCATCCTGGAAAGATGGGGAATGGTCATTCTGATCTTCCACATCGATACTAAGGAAGACTGTGCTACTCAGGGAAAGGTTTTTGCTATGGTCTGTAGTAATCACTCTGAAAAGATAATGAGATGTCGTCTCATAATCAAGTTCCTTAGAAAGAAACAAGTCTCCGGTTGAGCTGTCTATTTCAAAGTGTCCATCCTTATCATCTGCAACAATACTAAAATGTAACTTTCCATTATAATGTTGTTGAAGGTGATCAGATGACTTTATCAAGCTCATTATTTTTGTGGGCTTCAAATTTTCTGGTATAATTAAATGTCTAATATTCTGAGACATGATTGCTCTCCCTTTGGATAGTGGGATCACCTGAAATACGAATAAAAGAGATATTAATTTGGGGTATTTTTAAAACAGTTTAATGAATAAATGTAATAATATTATTTTGAAAGCAAATTCCTTCCATGTATGTGATCATATGTTAATTAGTGAGAAAAATGTCATTTTTATATTATATAATTCCAGTATGTCTCAGAAGATCAAAAACTGCATAATATTTAGGAGATAACAGCTACAGAATTTTCTATTTCCCAGTTTGCTGTATTGTGTGAAACAACAGTTTGGTAAAGCCATGTTATAGTTAAGCTGAACTGTAGCCTTGTGATTCTTCAATGGGAATGCAGGGTAGCTAGTTCTCCAGATTATTTTAAATACTACAGACTGATCTATCCATAATGACAACATCTGTGTACATTTAAGTATCATATGTCTTTGTTTGTCTGAAACAAGAAACTGGAGGTATGACCATACAGATTTTTCTCTTAACCCACATACCCTTAAGCAGTAAAGAATATAATTTGGAAACAGAGTTCTTGTGGATATATATCCTTGGTTATTGTATATACCTGTATTAATATTTCTGATTATCACATGCACACACAAAGAAACTATGCACAGTCATCTTTCTTTGAGTGGTTGGTGTAATTTTTTTCTTACTATGGAGACTTCTCACAACTTGTTTGCCCATTATGATTAAAGTAAAGCCTTAAAATATGAATCTGGAGTTACTTTTCTAAATTAAAAAAATTACAAAAATCTATGTCATTTATTATATGGCCATTTGTTTACATACAAGTGTCTCCTGCAAATTTACCAGAGCCTTGACATTAGAAATAAGCACAAGAAAAGATACCTTTTGTCCATTATAAACAAAGCAACATAAATGCCAATATAGTGATGATTATCTTGTCAAGAACTGTACAAAGCTAATTTGCAAAATAATTTGGGTCTAAATCATTTTTCTAGTGATAGCAAAAAGCTAAGTATGCTATGTGCAATGCTCTCAAAATAGTATTCATGTAACATACATACATATTCATATACATACATATTACATGTATCTTCACTCTATAAACTTGTAATGAAAGTCAAATGAAATCTTTAGATGTCCTTCCATATTTTATGGTGACAACATTACCTGAATATTAACAACTGCCTGTCCTTGAAGAGGAGGCACTCCCTGGTCAGTGGCAATGACACTCATTCTGTAGGAAGGTCTATAATCATACGAAAGTATTGTGGTTGTTCTTATTTCACCATTGTTGGCGTCAATCTTAAAGTGATCAGAACTATCTTCTACACACACAAGAAAATTAAGAAATGAATGTTAATTGACAATGCAGAAAACAGAAAATCAATTAATCCAATATATCGATCATTTGGAAGATTTGTTTGCTTTGAATTCTATGAGAGTATGAACACAAAAATGACACTAAAAATAGACAAGAAACATCACTTTTTAAAAATTTTTATTATGGAAAATGCATACAAAAAAGTGGACAAAATGGTATAATAAACTTTCACGAGTCCATCACCTAGCTTCAACAATGATCAGCTCATGGCCAATCTTATTTCATCTATTCCCCATGTATATACTTCGCTTCTCCCATTTTTTTTGAAGTAAGTTCCAGAAGTCATATTATTTCTTCTGTATATATTTCAAAATGCATCTTTAAAAAATAAATATTTTAACACAATCATCACAGTACCATATTATACCTTAAAAATTAATAATGGTTCACAGTATCACCAAATATTCAGTAAGTTTTCAAATTTTCAACCATCCCATAAATACTCTTTATTTTTCTTGTTTACATTAAGATCAAAATAAAGTCCATATATTGCATATTTCTTTAATCTATGGATTCCTGCCACCCATCTCTCTATTTGTCCTTGCAATTTATTTGTTGAATAAACTGGAACTTGTATCCTGACATTTTCCATGATCTAGATTTGCTGTTGCATCTCCAACGTGTAGCATAATATGTTCCTCTATTCTTATGTTTTCCTTAAATTGGGAGGCAGATCTAGAGAACTGACCAGATTCAGGTCAGGATTTTGTTTGTTTGTTTGTTTGTTTGTTTTTTGCACGACTGCTTCCCAAATGCTGTTTTTCCCTTCAGAGGCATAGGTCTAGCTGCCAAAAAAAAAAAAAAAGATGAAGTCTCTTTCTGTTACCCAGGCTGGAGCGCAATTGTGCCATGATAGCTCACTGCAGCCTGGAGTTCAGGGTCGCAAGCTATCCTCACACCTTGGCCTCCCAGATAGCTGGGACTACAGGCATGGGCCAAAAGCTAGTTATTTTTGATGTTGGCCCCCCACTGATGCACAGCCTAGATCCATTAATTATTCTTTAAGTTTTGTGAAGTATAATGCAAGTTGACATCCCAAATCCAAAAAATATGAGATCCAAAATATTCCAAAATCCAAAACTTTTTGAGTACTGACATGATGCTACAACAAGAAAAACTCTACGCCTGATTCATCTGATGGATTGCAGTCAAAACACAGTCAAAACTTTGTTTCATGCACAAAGTTATAAAAAATATTGTATAAAATTACCTTCAGGCTATGCATATAGATGTATATAAAAAATGAATTTCATGTTTAGACTTGGGTCTCATCCCCAAGATATCTCAATATGTATATGCAAATATCCCTCCCCCCAAAAAAAACCCACCAAAAAAAAAAATCCAAAAGCTGAAACACTTCTGGTCCCAAGCATTTTAGATTAAGGATACTCAATATGCACTGCATTCTGGTTTATCATCCCTTTTTCATGTATTAGCTGGAATATTTCAATAAATAGAAACTTTCAGAGGAGTTCATTATAAGAAAGGCAGGATAAATGCTCGATGAGTTAAACTTTTATTTAACAGTTTTTGAAATAATGGGTTGGTTCACTAACATCCACCAATGTTCCAACTATGATAAGTAAAATTTTGTCTTGCTTTTGTTTTGGAAATCGTTAAGCATGATTTAAACATATTAGTTGTATTTCAATATATTGCCATTTTTATCCTTATTGATGCTCAAACTGTCCCATCACCAAACATTGGGATCTTCTTAAAGTTGGTTCCCGGGTCTCTTTCCATGATCCTAATAGTGTTTAGTAGCCTCCTTGTAACTGGTATGACAAAATGGTGCAGACTCATCTTGTAGATTTCCTGACCATGACCTGACATCATCATTTCTCCAAGGACTCCTGGTTCCTTTGGTGGAAAATGGTTTTGGGAGAACATATTTGGGACATTAGAGGTGCTCATCGTTTCTGGGTTTGTCATCACTTCTAGGCCTTTTCAGTGCACGGAGAATACACATGCACACATCTATACATTCATATTGATGCTTATAATTTAGATTGGTATCATAAGGTTTTGAGTTAAATAACAGATTTGTATTCTTCAATAAAATCTGAACATTTCAAACAGTTCAAACCTCAGACAAGTCTTGAGTAGAAGCTCCCCTCCATTCTTTAGTTCAACAGTTGCTGAGTCATTACTATGGACCAAATACCTTATCAGTTTTTAGGGACATAAAAGCAAATAAAAAAGAACCCCTGTCTTCAAGAAACTCATAGCATGGAGCAGGCAATTATGTAACATTTATTAGTTGTGATTTCTATGCTTTAATCCATTGATTTTGTTCTCACAGAAATACTATAGAATGCATTCATGAATATGATACATACCTTTATTCCCCTTATACCAATTTTCATCTCATTATTTTACCATATATTTTGTAGTTGCTTCTATTTTACTATCAGATAAAAAATAAAGATGGGAATAATGTAATATATATCTCCATATTTTTGTATTGACATGCCTCAATTATCATTTAAAAGCTAATTTATAAAAAAAGAATATTTCGATGAACACCAAAGTATCACTTCTTAGACTGATTAATTTTCAATATTTTTTCAATTTTTTCCAAGAAATGGCAGAGTATGAATAAAGGAGTGGATCTGTATATAGCTCCAAATCTCATTCCCCTCCTTTTTCCCCGTAGAAAGTCACTTTTATAACTGAAGTTGAGGTTTATCTTTGAAGTCCATACATCCATAAATAACATATGCCATGGCTTTGCTTGCTTTTAAATAGTGGTATTATAGCAGGATTATAGCCGTGTGTGTGTGTGTGTGTGTGTGTGTGTGTGTGTGTGTGTGTGTATTTTCCCTCTTCACAATCATTGTCCTTCACAGGTACACTATGTTGTCTTCTCCACCCCAAAATAAGACAGGAAAAAAAGATATAAAGATCTTATTGACCTAACTGACCTCATAGCCAGAGAAAGATTCTTGAATGCATACCTGCAAAGCCAGTTTTTCTCCCACCCAAGGACCAGATTAAAATAAGCTAAGACAACAAAAAGAGAAATTTGAGAAGTAACAAAAGGGAAGACAAAAAAAGAGGGGGAGAATGGGGAAAGAGTCTCTGAAGGAGGGGACAGCAGGAACACAGAGGAAGGGCTGTCTCCAAATGTGGATCTGCTGCAGGCTCACTACCTCTGTATAATCCACCATTCAAGTGTCCTGAGAACTTGGGAAGACATTTATAGGTAAATAAGTTCGGATGGTTTATATGGGCATAGAAACATCAGAGAAGAATTTGGCTCCCTGACCATGGAGGTATTGAGAAGAACTGCATATGTAACTTTTCCAAGGAAAAGCAATGCAATGAACTCAAAGCTGCTGTTTGCGTCAAATTCTTTTTATCTTCTGTAAAATCCTTGCCTTCCTTGCTTAACTTTGGATTCAATATTTATCCACACTGCCATGTATGAAATTCTATTGTATTCATTTTCATTGCTGTATAGTATTCCGTGAATATACCATATTATGCAGACAACTGAAACAATGCTTCAATGAATATCCTGTTACAGTCTCACTCTGCACATATAGAGTTCCTCTAGGGTAACAGAAGTAGAACTGCAAGGGTATAGCATAAGCACATCTCCAGTCTTATCAGATATTGCTTCATTGTTCTTCGAAGTCGTCACAACAAGGAGTCTGGGCATGCTTTAAAAACCTTTTTAATTATTCAGGCTTCTTTTCTTTGAGTTGTCTGTTAACATTCTTTGTCCAATTTTATTATTTATTTACTGGTTTTTCTTACTGGTTTGCAGGAGTTCTTAATAAATTCTGAATACTAATTTTGTATTGGTTACTGGACTATAATTATCTTTTCCCAACTTGTGACTTGAATAGTCACATTGTAAACAATGGCATATTTTGTAGTGTTTTCAATTTTCATTTAGTTTTATTTATCTATTTCTTTGTGAGCTTCTGCATTTCTTCTTGTTTAAACCGTCTTCTTTATTCTCAATGCCATATATATAACCAGTCTCATATTTTCTTTTGTAAGAGTTAAAGATTTCTACATTTAATAAGACTCATCTTTGATATGCTGAGAGTAGAGATATTTTTCCTTGTAGGTAACCGATCATATCAGCATCACGTATTGATAGTCCATCTTTTCCCCATTTATTTTCTACCCCCTCATATGTCAAGTTTCCGTACGTGTAAAGTGTGACCCCTACTCTTTTTAACTGGCCCATTTATTAATGAGTGAATCAATACAATAGTGTTTTAATTATGAAATTTTATAAATTAAGACTGGGTAAGGCCAACTTCCCACTTGTTATTTGGACATTGTCTTAGTTATTCCTTGTCTTTTGCTTTTCCACATGATGTTTAGAATCAGCTTGTCAAATTCTATCAAAGCCTCATTGAACATTTGATTGAAATCATACTGAATTAATAATGATATTTTTGTTAAGAATTGTAATCTTTAGGATATTGAGTCTTCCCAAGCATGAACATGATACAGCTTTTCATTTCATTCTTTTATGTCCTTCATTAATATTTTATATTTTTCTGTATGAAAGTCTTATACAAGTTATATTGGAATTTTTTCTATGCCCCTAATAGAGACAGATCCTATCTGTGTTGTTTTGAAGTTTGTACAGTTTGAGAGGCACTCCTTAAGAAAAATAAATTGTCCACTTCCCGCTCCCTGGGGAGGCTATGCAAGTAAAACACCGCAAAACTTAGCTTCATTAGTTTCACAGTAGATCTGCTCCTACCCCCTTTCATTTTCTTTGTGAATTCACCATAGTGAATGAGATCTTTGGAAACTGCTAAGTTTTAAAAATACCAGTGAGTTTCGTATGTTGACATTATTCTCAGAAAATTGGCTATTTTATTAATTCCAATGGGTTGCCTATAGCATCTCTTGGGTTTTCCATGCAGACAATCAAACTATCTGTGGGAAAGGGCAATGTTATCTCTTCTTTCCTATGTCCTATGTTTGTGTCAAACATGACAAAGCACCAAATGTCTTTTAAAATTATATAAAACACAATGCCAATTAAAGTAAATAACTGGAAAAAATCTGGGGCCTGCATGTTCCAACAGAAAACATAATAGTAAGCCCACTTCAATAAAATTTCCCCATACACACACGCATGTATACATGTGACATTTTCTAGGCATGATTTACTCTGACCTTACAAGTATTCAGTCTTCATAAAGATTTATAGATGCTTGGAACTCTTAGTCATACTTAATACCAATTCTTATCCCCTAACTAACACTTTCCTATCAATAAAAGTAAATTTGTACTTCACATTATTGCAAATTACTCACTAAAGATGAATGGTTTCTATTAAGAACGTAAAAAGCTACTCTGATTTTTTATTAAACTTTAAATTACTTTTCAAAAACTGAAAGTAGTTCTTGACAATAGCAAATGTATTTTGTTTGTAACTTGGTGCTTTTTCAAAACTAACTACAGCATTCAAAGTAATCAAAATAGAACTTCTTTTCCCAGAAGGGGATAGTTGATAAATGAAAGCAGAAATCCTAAAAGTTCTTAATCCCGTATGAACAGTAAGTTTTACCTGAAGATACTGAGTATGTAACTTCTGCATTATTTCCTTCATCAGGATCCTTTGCAAACACAGTTGTAACCAACATATTTACTGGTTGACCTTCCAGAACCTGCCATTAAAACAAACAGCTTACAAATGAGTCAGCAAAAGTTTAAAAAGAAATATCAGTGGACCTTTAAATGAATGAATACATTATACTAAACATTTTAAACTATCTTAAAATCCACATATAATTCAAATGCATACCATGTAAAAGTTATATGGGTGTATGTCCATGAAAAGAATCCTCCTTACATATTAAATCTTTTATTCAATTAGAATGAATTATCTGAGGCATCTGAACTAATTCTGACCAAAAGAAAAAGAAATTGAACTTGCTAAACAATCTTAGATTTTTGGTGTATTTTAAGATTTCTAGCATATTCTCATTCATCATCTCTTAGGACATTTTTTGAAAGGTGGTTGCTATGGCTTAAAATATGCTTAAAATAAGTATGAACCTTTAATTCAGAAAACAAAACTCATGCAGGACATACCAATTATCAGGAGCTGTCCTGCAATGTTGAAATGCACATGTGAAGTTCAACTACATGTTTAGAGTCCAACTGCCCAATTAAGCCACAGGACATTTTAATGATATGATTAAAAAGTGTAATGATGATATAATAATATTTTGCTTTGTTAGAATTTTTCTTTAAAGCTGGATTCAGATCAGTTTAAAGTTATGAGTTCCTCAATACTTTTGTTGAGTTGTTCAATATGTATATTTGAGCACAATTTGAATGTCTAATTCAATTGTTCTGGAACAGTAGCTTCTAAACTTTTCATTATTATAACCCATCCACTAAAAAAATTATTAGTAGGTCCAAACATATTTATTAATTATGTGAATGAACTGATATTCTAATTTATTATGTATATTATACAACATACAAAAAGACAAATGAAAAAGATGAGATAATATAAATATAATTGCCAGTTGGTGCATGTGATCAAAAGGATCAACTTTTACTATCTCTGGATTTCCACCTACCCACTTTAGAGCTACAGGTTGTTCCCCTACCCTTAAGTAACTATCTTAGAGACATGTATCAATTGCCGTTAAGAAGCTCTGCACAAAGAGATGCACGTAAACTACTGGAAAAACAAGCCATGTCTGAGCATTAACCTGAAGCACCATTCAGTTTGTGTACAAGGGGCTGAACTAAACTTATTGTTATAAAGCAACTGGAGGTACAATGCCAAAGAGCACATATATTCATTTACTTTTTAAAAATTTTCTTTTAAAATAACATGTGCACAGTATCTAGGTCTTCTAGAAAAAGTATGCTTTGCCACACCAAGACTGATGTGATAAATTCACAGGTTTTACCACAAGATGGTGCTCAAAACAAATGACTTAAGATATTACAAATTCATTGCAAGGTTTCTTCACAAACCTTCACGTGTAACTCCTTTCCAGGGAGACACTGGGGGAAGAAGGGCCTGTTATCATTGATGTCAGTAACTGAGACGTAAACCGCCATGGTGGCGTTTCGTGGTGGGGAGCCGCGGTCTGTCACTAGCACAGTCATCTCATGGTGCCCCCGGTGCTCACGATCCAGTGCCACCCAATTGATTAACTCTCCTGCAGAGTACAGAGCAGAACAAGACACAGGCACTGTGTACCAGGCGCACCAGGGCCAGAACCATTTCCAGAAGGAAAACCAAGTACAAAGCTTTGAGCAAATATGCGACTTCTAAGACCATCTACATAGTAGTTTGGCTCTATGGTACTGTTGAAAAAATTTTCTCAAGTTGCTCCTGAAAATGTCACTTTAAATTTGTTATTCTTTGTATTTCAAATTATCATCCATCGATCATTTGAACTAATAAACAATGAATTCATAAAAATGATAAAACTCCGTGGGAACTTAGTAATGATTTGGAAGATTTAAAACTGCTGCTTATCCCTCTTTATGCTGCTATACAGAATGATGGAAAGCATGTGAGCTCTGACACAGGTTCTGGCTTTGGCCCCAGTTTCCCCATCTCAGACATGGAATGACTCCTCTGAGCCTGGGACTGCTGTCAGGAAGAAATGTAATCACACATTTAAAAGTATTGTGCAAGCTATACATGACGACACAAGTGGAAGCTGTTATTACTACTTTAACATAATGGCTAAATACCTTTCTGGAAATCAAATAATATCCCTTAGGCAATAGTTCTTGTTTTATGCACACAAGTATTTGTTTTTTATCTCACAAAATATACATGTAGCAGTGGATAGTGACTTCCTATAAAAACTCTTAATGCTTTAGAAGCTTTATTTCAAATATTTCTGCCTAGAGCTATACTACCTTCAGTAACTTTCCTCATGTGTCAGCCATGCAGACCCAGGCATAACATCTAAGTGCCTCTTCCTATTGCCAGGGACCTTGGGAAGACAAGCACTCGGTCCAATAGCCTGTCAGAGCTCTGCCAAGCATTGATTTCCTCACCATTTATGAAAAAAAAATGTACCTGTGAGAATGTGAGCATGAAGCAGCTACCGACAAACATTTCTGTGGCTAAAAACTTTTTTCCTCTTAATACAAATAAAATAGCATTGCATTAAAAAAAAGTGGAAACAGGGAACAAAAATGAAAATTCTCATTTAGGTAAGTTGCTGAATTGGTGAGCTTAAATGCAGTGTTTATGATAACTGTTTACTGTTAATATATAAACTATATTTATAGTGTTTACTCGGTGGTTTTAATATAGATCATACACACAATTGCTTTTTTTAAATTCCAAACTATAATTCTCCTCCGAAGACCTTAACTTCTGAATGGCAAACAGATTTTTATTCATAAAGCAAATCTGATGGATAAGCAGCAGCCTTGGAGGTCGGGGATGTAAAAGACTGTGCAGCTCAGGCTGCAGCTGGGGATGGGCGACACCAGGATATGGTTCCACAGGAGCTCAAGTCCTGGTCACTTGTAGGACTGTCCAGAGAACTGGATGAAAAGGGGGTGTGTCTCCCAGGCTCTGAAGGACACCCTCCACCCTGCCTTGCCATGCTGTCCTTGGGAGGAGGAACAGTTTACAAGCACGTAGTGTTCCAAGCCCTTTCATATTCTTTAGCTCTTTACCCCTCAAAGCATGGCACAGGGCGTGTCAGGAATTGTCTCCTGTATTCATGGTAAGGAAGCAGCTCTGAGCTTAAGCTACTTGCTTAAAGCCATACAATGAAATTAGGAATGGACACCTCGTTTTCTTGTAGGGGAGGGAAGATCACGGGGGAATCAACTGTAGTTTGCTTATTTTAAAGAAAAAAACAAGTGAAATAGAAGACCTTGAAAACTAGCCATATGGAAGTAAAGTGCAAGCAGGGTCATCCCATATAGCTGTATGGTTTGTGCCCTTGCAGCAGGAGTCTCAGTTTAGGGAGTGAATGAGAGTGGAAAGGCAGCTTGCAACCTTCTTGGCAAGCCATGTGCCCTGTGAAAACCCTCCATCTGCTGTGAAAGGTCACCTTCTCCTAATTCACAGAACAGAGACTTGAGAACAAAGGCTTGAAGTTCATCAGAACTGAATGCAAAGTCTGTCCCACTAAAGGCAGCAGCACCATCTGCCCAGGTTATGACATAGATGGTGCCTGCTGGACCTGCACAAAAAGGGAGCTTCTTCTCATCTTACCAGCTCCATGACTTTGGGTGTACTACTCGAGCTATCTGAGTTTCAGTTTTCCCGGGTATGTATTTGCAGTATAGATATGTTTCATTGTAAGGATTAAATAAACTCCCCGTAAACTTATACAACATAAATTTTAAAATATAGTGACTTTTAATCTTTAATTTCTTAATTCAGACTTTAAAAATTTCACTGTAATTATTCCCCCTTTTCCTCTGGTTCCCCTGTCAGAATGAGAAAAAGGATATATATTCTTAGAGTGATTTTGAAATCTTAACCAATGAATTGATGTCTAGCTTTACATTGATGATATTTATATTTCACAAAATACGTTTTGACGTTTTTTAAATGTCTACAAATGGAAAAGGATGGTTGTTGAAAAAATTAGCCTTTACACAAGGATATATTCAATCCAGTTCTGACTATACCTCTAGTTCAGAAAAAGAACCATATATTGGCAAGATGGGGATGTGATGCAGGGAAAGTATGAATTATTATGGGTGAAACTCTATTCAATTTTTAATCCATTTTTAAGACCTCACAATAGAGTAATCGAATACCTTATTTATTAAAAACCATTATTTCAATTGCATGTATGCACTAATGCTATACCTAACGACTTGAGTTTTCTCAATCCTGATTTTGTTTAATTTTTTATTTTTATTTTTACTTAAAGACGAGTGTGATAGTACTGAACCCTCATTTTAAAGGAATAGGTGGAAACTATGAAGTGCTACCTGTATTAGGATTCATCTTGAAGAATTTTCCATCAGACAAAAGGAAATATAATAGCTGTCCATTCTTTCCAGAGTCCATGTCAATAGCTGTAATTTTGCCTATTACCCCTTGGGGAACAGGGCTCTCTTCGACTTTCAAAAACAACACATCATGCAAGAAGGTGGGGGAATTGTCATTCTCATCCCAGACACGAACAATGACTGTAGTGCTCACATTTTGCAAGAATCCGTCCTCGGGGATCCAAGCAAACACTCTAAAATTATATGTTTGGGTGGATTCATAGTCAAACTGTCGCCGCAAATAAATCCAGCCCGTGTAAGGGCGGATTCCAAACATAGCAGAGTCTACGCTGGGTTCCAGCGAGTACCTAAGAGGCGAGGCTGCACGCTGGGGGCCAAGTGGGTGCGCCTGTGTTTGCAGCATTTGTGTCATCGGTGAGAGAGACTCACTGACTTCCACTTGATAGACCAAATGTTCGAAAGTCCAGGATGGGCTGTGTTCGCGTTTCTCGATAACGACTGTCAGCACCAGCAGGGCTGCCTGAGGATGCACGCCTTGGTCCTCGGCCCTGAGAGTCAGCGTGAGCTCCCGCTGCTCGCCCGCGCCCAGGCTGCCGTTGAGGAACAGCACCCCCAGGGCTCTGTCGATGGCAAAGACGCCTGGCTGCGGGCTGGCGATGGAGTACCGGATGAGTCCGTTCCGCCCACTGTCTCTGTCTTCCGCACGTGCGAGGTACAAGGCTGTGCCAGGGGGCGTGGTCTGGGATATTCTAATCTCATCCGAGGTCCTGAGGAACGCTGGGTGGTTGTCATTGACATCCATGACTGTTATGTTGACCTCGGTGCTGCTGCAGGCTGGGGCGCTGCCGAGCTGCGCCTGCACCGTGAGCACAACCACGGGCTGCGTCTCGTGATCCAGGGGCTTCCGGGTGCGAATAGTGCCCAGCCGCGGGTGAATGGAGAACTTTCCGCCGAGATCACCAGAAGAAATCCTGTAAAAGATTGGTTCTGAGGAGTCTGAAAAAGAGAGAGGGGACAACCACTGTATGTCAAAAGGGTGGACCCACTGGAAACTCAGAAATTGAAATGTTAATACAGTCATCCACTGCCTAATGACACTTCAGTCAATGATGGATCACATATACTATGATGGTTCCGTAAGATTCTGACACCGTATTTTATTGTACCTTTTCTGTGCTCACATACATAAATCCTTACCATTGGGGTACAACTGCCTACAGTATTAAGTGCAGTAATATGCTGTGCAGGTTTGTAGCCTAGGAGCAATCGACTGTAACATTTAGCCTAGGTGTCTGGTAGGCCACACCATCCAGGTTCGTGTGAGTACACTCTGTGATGTCTGCACACTGACAAAATTTTCTAATGAGGCATTTCTCAAAACATTTCCCATCGTTAAGGACGCATGATTGTATATTCTCCATCTACAGAGACTGCTGTGCAATGTCTTACTTTCTCCACTCTCCAAAGCCTGCGGAAAAGTGGACACACGGTTTTAAGAATTTTTTTGGTGTACGAAAAGAATGTCCAATGGGCAAAGAGCAAGCCACAGGTTTCACTCTCTTCCTTCATCCCTCTTGCATTAGATAAAAGGGAAAGATATTCAGAAAATAATTCAAATACCTTTTTTTAAATATATTTGAGGAAGTCAAGTTCAATTTATGTTGATGTTACTCTATTATATCTACCTATGAAGGGCAAATACTCTCCATAGAGATTGAGGGAAGGGAGAGAGGAAGGAACAGGAGGGGACTAGGAGGAGGACAAGCTCTTTGGAAAGGTAATTCATTTCTAGGAATTTATCCTGCAGAGGTTCCTCTACAGGTGTGAAAAAGTCACACACGGCTATTTGCTCAAGTACTATTTGGACTAGCAAGATTTTTTAAATCCTTCAAATTGGTAGCAAATGTAAACATAAAACATATCTAAGTTGAAACACTATAAACTGTCTTTTAAGGAAACAGAATGGCATCCATTTATCTGGAAAGTTGTTCAGTATATACTAAGTGGGGAAAGAAGCTCTATAACAACAAATATAGAAAGATGCATTTTTGTCAAAAATTTGTAAATTGTGTGTACATGTGTGTGTTTTTGTGAGTGGGTTATAGGAGACATATATTTTGTATATTATAATCTGTATTATTTTAAACATTCTTTTTAAAATGCCTATTATTTTTGTGATCAGAAAAAAAATTGTGGGATGGACAGAAACAATGTTGGAAGAACAAAGAGCAAGCCACAGTTTGTGTTATCTCCCTTGTTTTGACTTGCGTGGAAAGAAGAAAAAAATTATTCAAGATTGTACCGCCTACAAAAAAACAAGAAATGTTCCAATAATGGAATTCCATGCAGCATAAGAAATAAGTACTTACTCAAGGGCTCTCTTGCTTTCACTGTTCCAATGGGACTATCTTCAGGCACATCTTCATAAACTAAGAAAGTGTACTTAGGCCTTTCAAACTCAGCAGGTGCCAGAGTTGTCTGGAAAATGTGTATGGTGACATCGGCATTAATGACAGCTGTGAGCCCACCACCGTCTTGAGCAGAGACCATCAACGAAAGTGTGGTAGATTCCAAATGACTAAGAGGTAATGTTAAGTAAATAATTCCTGGGTAGGGAAAAGAAAACATTGGTAAACAGATAACATGTAATAAATACTGATGAGCAATAGTAACACCTGGTCTATTAAGTGTATTGTGATGTTTTATTTTATGTGTTAACTGGGCCACAGGATGTCCAGGCATTTGATCAAACATTATTTTGAGTGTGTCTGTGAGGGTGCTTTTGGATGACATTAACATTTAAATCTGTAGACTGAATAAAGCAGATCATCCTCCCTAATGTGGGCAGGCCTGGTCCAATCCACTGAAGGCCTGAATAGAACAAAAAAGCTGACTAAGAGAGAATGGCTCCTGCTCCCAACCTGGGGCACTGGTTTTTCTCCAGCCTTCAGGCTCAGATAGAAGCATTGGCTCTTCCTAGGTCTCGAGCCTGCTGGTCTTCAGCCTCAAACTATACGACTGGCTCTCCTGGTTCTCAGGTCTTTGGACTGAGACTGAAGCAACACTGCCAGCTCTCCTGGCTCAGTTTGATGGATCTGCTCACCCTGCAGATCTTGGGACTTGCCAGCCTTCATAATCACATGAGCCAATTCCTTGTGATCAGTCTCCTCATACATACACACACACACACACATACATCCTGTTGGGTCTGTTCTCTGGAGATGAACTGATACATGTATTTGCCAACCAAAGACCTTCTGCATATTTGCAAAACAATGTCAAATTATGTTAGGTAAGCAATATTTTCCTAGAGTTAAAACATTAGACATTTTAGAAGTATATAAAGTCACTAGAAAAAATATAAATTGTGTTGTCTTCTTTAGGGCTTACCATATCACCAGCCCGAGATGACAGAAGATCAGATTATATCCCATAGTCCAGTATATTCTAATGCAGGCTAGCGCAGGGTTGTAGGGTGATTACAACCTGCTCAAGTGCCAGAATCCCAAGTCTACAGGATGAAACTAAAATTTTATCTTCTAAGGTATTTGACATTTGCCCTGAACTAGACCGTGTAGGGTAGCTCTCTTTTTAAACTGACTCCACTCCACCTTTGTTGGTGAGAAGATATAATACAATAGCTGTGTACAATAAAACTTCAGCAAATGTAAAGACAATGGGGACAAGAGTGACGACTTAGGCTTATGCATGTAGAGTATGTGAGAGGAGAACTTATTTATGGCTAAGTTGGGAAGAGATTCGGTAATACTGACAAAAATGAATTATTTAATATTATTAATACTACCACTTAGTGTACTAGTTTAAAAACCTGAAAACGGATCTAATGCAATCAACTTAAGAAATGAACCTGTTAGTTTTGTTTAATGAGAAAAATGTATGCAAACTTATTAAATGAATTTGCGAACAAATACGTATGGCTGGCCTTTATGGAATTCATCATGTACAACTGGCCATAACAATTAGTTAATGAATGAATACTGCAGTCTTTGCCAGTTTAGGAGAAGTTGGCAAAAACATCAGGGATATCAGTTTCTAGGCATTAAAAGGTGACATCCATTTGATTTCTTCCTTTTTTATATAAAAATCTGCCCTCTTGCAACTTCGATTTCTTGTTTCTATTTCTATTAGAAATTTAATAAAATATTCTTATTTACTGAAATCAAATATCTTGCTTGGCCTGCTCTAAACACATACTCATTTTCCTTTTTTCCCCAGCTTTATTAAGGTATAGTTGACCAATAAAATTACATATGTTTAAGGTGTACAATTTGACAATTTGTGATTATAACCATTTTCTTTAATGATTCCTTATCTAATATGATTTTAAGTCATTTCTCTCACAGTTCTTTCTCCTAAACATGGTCCAAGTTGATCATCTCAATTTTGATAACCAAAGTGAACAAACTTTGTTTCCAGATACAATTTTACTGTTATAAAGCAGAGGATAAACACTCTTTATTAGAATACCATAAAATACTAATGTAACCAACTATTAGTACACCAGCTTTTAGTAACCATATTCACATCTGGTTTCAGACTGATTTGATGGTCCATCAAAGCACTCAGTACTTATCACAAAAAATTTCCAAGTCAGATCTTTCTCATCTGTTATTGGTGCAGTTTCTAAAAAATATTGCTTTAGTATTAAAGTCTCTGATTGATTGAAAAATAAAACTTGAATATACACAAATGTGTACAGAAGAGAAGAAAAAGTCCCCCTACCCCAAACATCCCCACTCACCAGGTATATATTCTTCCAGAGCTACCACTAAATTCCGATTACAGAGAAATTTTAAAAGATTTTATGTTGAGCCCTGATGATTATGACAATGAAAAACTTAATGTCTGCCTCAACACAACCTGGTCTTCCTGCATCCCGACTGACTCCTTCTGAACTATTTTTATATTTGTGTTAGACCAGTCTTCTTGAAATCCAAATCTAGACACATCGATGGCTCCCCAGCTTTTCAGGGTAAAGCTTAAATGCATTATCTTAACATACCAAGCTATTCATAAATGGCCCCTCTCCCTCTCTGTAACCCCATCTCATAGCTCTCTGTGTCATAGCTCTCTGTACAGTACCTTTTGCTCTAGGCAAAGTGAACAGCTTGTAATTTCCAGAAAAGACCTTGCTGTCTTCCATCTGGATTGCTGCGTCCTCTTCCCAGAACAACTTCTTCATCTTCTTTGATGTAACAATTTCTAGCCATATTTTATTATTATTATTATTATTATTATTGAGATGAAGTTTCACTCTGTTGCCCAGGTTGGAGTACAGTGGCATGATCTCAGCTCACTGTGACCTCCGCCTCCTGGGTTCAAGCGATTCTTCTGCCTCAGCCTCCCGAGTAGCTGGGATTACAGGCACGTATCACCATGCCCGGCTAATTTTTGTATCTTTAGTAGAGCCAGGGTTTCACCATGTTGGCCAGCCTGGTCTCGAACTCCTGACGTGATTTGCCTACCTCGGCCTCCCAAAGTACTGGGATTATAGGTGTGAGCCACTGCACTTGGCCTCTAGTCATATTTTAAAACACAGCTCAGGTTTCATCTGGTGCAGCTGGCCTTCTCTTTCTCTCCACTTAGCTCTAGCTACCACTATTCTATGATCCCGCAGCAGCCTGGGTACATGTGCCTATTATGAACTTAACATGCCTTACTTAATTACCGGTTTTTAATATTTTATATCAGTCCTTCATTTACTCATTAGTTTACTGAATGATTTATAAATAAAATTAAAAGAAATTTTGAAAATATACAAACAACAATTTACTATACATAAGGAGAAGAGAGATCTGTAAACAAAATGGAAAATAACTGAAAGTTAGATTAGCAGTGGATAAGGACAGGTAGTTTAGATAAGAAACAATAAAATGTTGATAAATATAATACTACCTAAAATCACTAATAATAATGAAAATACAAAATTAAAACCACTACCTCATTTTTACCTCTCTGTTTTCCTAAAATATTTAAGTGATAATACCCAGAGTTAATAGCAGGTTGTTATTTATGTACATTCTCCAAAAGGCACTTTGGTGATACTTATCAAAATTTTAATTGTTCACACTCAATAACTCAGAAATCTACTCTATATTTGTGTAAGTACACAGAAATAAATCAAGAGGATGTCATTTGGAACACTGAAAATGACCTTAATATCCATCAGGAAAAGAATGGACAGTGCACTCTATTGTGGTATATCAATACAATAGAATACTGTGTAGCATCAAAATGAAGTAAATATACATGTTTTCATCTAGAAAGACTTTACACACTACATTTTATGTGAAAAACAAGTTGCAAACGTGAGTCTATGTTATCAATCCATTGTGCTTGAAAAAATAATGTCAATACTACAAGTATTAGCCAGGATTCTCCAGAGAAGCAAACCAATGGGATCTCTCCTCTGTAGATATAGATATCTATAGATCTTATATCTCTCATATCTACATATAGAGATAGATAGATAGACATTAATAGATAGATATAAAGTGAGATTTACATTAAGGAATTGGCTGAGATTATGAAGTCTGAGAAGTCCCATGTTCACCCATCTGCAAGCTGGAGACATAGAAAAGCTGATGGTATAGTTTGAAAGCCTGAGAGCCAGGTAGTCAGTGGTGTAGATTCTAGTCAGGGTCTGATGGCCTGAGAGCCAGGAGCACTGAGGGCAAGAGACTGATGTCTCAGCTCAAGCTGTTAGGCAGAGAGCAAATTCAACCTTCCTCCACCTTTTTGTTCTTTTTCAGGCCCTCAGTGAATTAGATGATGCTCACCCATTCTAGGGCTGGCCATCTGCTTTACGCAGTTCACCAATTCAAATGAAAATCCACCCACAGAGACACCCAGAAACAGTGTTTAATCAGCTATCTGGGCATCTTGTGGACTATTCAAGTTAACACATAAAAGTAATAATCACATGAACAAACTTTTTTTTTTTTTTTTGAGATGGAGTCTCACTCTGTTGCCCAGGCTGGAGTGCAGTGGCGTGATCTCGGCTCACTGCAACCTCTGCCTCCTGGATTCAAGCGATTCTCCCGCCTCAGCCTCCTGAGTAGCTAGGACTACAGGCGCCTACCATCACGCCTAGCTAATTTTTGTATTTTTAGTAGAGAGGGGTTTCACCATATTGGCCAGGCTGGTCTCAAACTCCTGACCTTGTGATCCGCCCATCTCGGCCTCCCAGAGTGCTGGGATTACAGGTGTGAGCGACCGCGCCCAGCCAAACATTTTTAAAATCATGGTATATCTCTATTTAATGTAAAAGAAAAATTCATGAAAACCTGCTGAGAATATTTGATTACAGAACACTATGTAAAGTTTGAATACAAACACTAATACATATACGATGTGTATACACACAGAACTATGCATACTGAAAAATATGAAAGGATAGGAACTGTTAAGGGAAGTCATCTTTGTGTGTTGAGATTATGGGAAGCTCACTTTTTACTTCTTACATTCCTATAGTTTAAAAATTTTTTAATAATTATATGTTAACTTTGTAAATGAAAAAATATATTTTAAAGATATTCAGAAAAAGAAGATATGTTTGGTTATTATTTAACTTTTTTAGGACTATGAAGGAAACTTGTAAACTATAGTGTAAACTAAGATTGGACATTAAAATGTGGGCCTCTAAAAATAATTGCAGAGCACACTTCCTTAAAAATAGGATTCTAATTCTACAAAAAATTTCAAGAATGAATATCATGGATATTTCAGAACCATTAAATGAAGATATTAAAGGGATTAATTTCCATTAAATCAATCCCTGAGGTTATAATAAACAAACTCTGGAGAAGCTGTCTATATAAAGCCGAACATGAAAAATAATGTTTCAAATATTCAAATTACTAAAGTGTGTCCTAGTAACATACAGCAAATGTGAAGTCTAATAAAATTAATATCTATACTATATTCACTCTGGTACTGAAAAATATTCTCTCTGATAGAACTATTTGGTGTCTAATTATAGCCCCTCCAAATCCCCAAACTGGCATTTTTAATTGAGACAGTTTAATAATAGTTTTTGAGGTTCCCGATGATTTGACAATGGGGAGCAAGAAGCAACACATCACTTATTTTATCCTTGATACCACCTGGAATGTTAGTCCATGAAGCAAAATTAAGTTTACTGTCTTAACAAAATTTTACTGATGAATGTCCATTTTATTTGCCATATTATGAGTTATCAAATAAATTTGAAGGAAAGGAAAAGGGAAGAAAAAGGGAGACATGACATCAATTATAGAGAGTTATACAAATGTAACCTTTTCAAGAATCTTTACCCTTAAAGAATTTATACAAGCCAATCAGTAACTAAGTGTAACGTCAACAAAGACAAATAAGAGCTGTCAGTTATAGGTGAGCAGGAGATAACGAAATTTAAAGTTGTATGTAAACAGTGAAACATCACACAAATGTTAGCTATTATGAAGAGGGCTTAGCTTAGAACCTTGCATATGGTAGCCACTCAAAGAAATGAATTTATGTGGGGGGAGAATCGTGAACCTTACTTCTCAAAGGGAAGTGCCTTGTTAATAATTTGAAAAAACGTTTTCGCCCGGGCGCGGTGGCTCACGCTTGTAATCCCAGCACTCTGGGAGGCCGAGGCGGGTGGATCACGAGGTCAGGAGATGGAGACCATCCTGGCTAACACAGTGAAACTCCGTCTCTCCTAAAAATACAAAAAAATTAGCCGGGCGTGGTGGCGGGCGCCTGCAGACCCAGCTATTTGGGAGGCTGAGGCAGGAGAATGGCGTGAACCCGGGAAGTGGAGGCTGCAGTGAGCCGAGACCGCGCCACTGCACTCCAGCCTGAGAGACAGAGCGAGACTCTGTCTCAAAAAAAAAAAAAAAAAAGAGAACGTTTTCAAGTATTTCAAAACACCGCTCTATAAGCACCTAACCATACAAGGTAAATCTCTGAAATCTCAGTTTTCCGCTAGGTTTTAAAAAGAAAATGCCTGTTATCATATTCCTCCATTTTTCATTTCATAGAAGTCTTAGAAGTAGAGACCATCACTCTATATACTGTATATGTATCGTAATGCATACATTCATATATATACACATACATTCATATATATATACACACACATATCTATCTATATATAATATGCTGATCTATCAAAAATTCCTGTGTAGTAATGGGATTATAAATATTGTGTGAACAAAAAACCTGTCCATCAATTACTAGGCTCTAAGTAATTTTTCAATAACATCAGAAGCTCCACTGTTTTCTGTGCGTATCCATAGGCTAATCACTTAAACCTACCATGGTTTTACCTTAATCTCCCAGGTAATATCAGACAGAAGTATTTCCTGTCTGAAAGTGCTGAATCCTTGGGTTAATTATTTCCAGAAGCCCAAAAGTTTAGTCTTTTTAATTTTATTTTTTTAATTAAATGAAAGCATTATACTCAACTAAATATAACCATCAAAAGAAATCAACACAATTGGTAAATTCACTTGTCTTTGAACTTGAAGGGCTCTAGAGGTACTGTGGGCTTTATTCCAGACCACTGCAATAAAGCCAATACTGCAAAAAAAAGTGAGACACAGAAATTTTTTGATTTTCCAGTGCATAAAAAGTTATGTTTACACTATGTTGTAGCCTATTCAGTGTGCAATAACAGTAAGTCTAAAGAAAACAATGTATATACCTTAATTTAAAAATATTTTATTGGTAAAAAAAAAAGTGTTAACAGTCATTTGAGATTTTAGTGAGTGGTAATCTTCTTGCTGGTGGAGGGGCTTGCCTCAATGTAGATGGGTACTAACTGGTCAGTGTGGTGGTTACTGAAGGTGGCGGTGGCTGTGGCAATTTCTTAAAATAAGACAACAAGGAAGGTTGCCACATTGATTGACTCTTCCTTCCACAAAATATTTTTTTCTGTAGCATGCAATGCTATTTGCTAATAGTTTATCCACATTAGAACTTCTTTAAAATTGGAGCCAATCCTCCTAGGCCCTACTGATGATTTATCAACTAAGTATATGGAATATTCTAAATCCTTTGTTGTCATTTCAACAATGTTCACATCTTCCCCAGGAGTAGATTCCATCTCAAGAAACCATTTTCTTTGCTCATCCAAAAAAGCAATTCCTCATTAGTTTAAGTGTTATCATGAGATTGCAGCAATTCTGTCACATCTTCAGGCTCCACTTCTAATTCTATGTCTCTTGCTATTTTTACCACTTCACTGAAGTGGTGATTCCCTCAAAGTCATCTGTGAGGGTTGGAGTCAACTTCTTCCAAACTCCTATGTTAACCTCCCTCCATGAATCACAAATGTTCTTAATGGCATCTAGAATGGTGCATCCTTTCCAGAAAGTTTTCAATGTATTTTACCCAAATATATCAGAGGACTCACTATCTATGGCAACTATAGCCTTAGGAAATGTATTTCTTAAATAAAATACTTGAAAGTCAAAATTACTCCTTGATGGATGCATGGATTGCAGAATGAATCTTGTATTAGGAGGCATTAAGAAAAAACCTCCTTGTATATCTTCATCAGAGCTCTTAGGTAGCCATGTGCATTGTCAGTGAGCAGTAATGATTTGAAAGAATTTTTTGTGAATAATAGGTCTCAACAGTGGGTTTAAAATATTCTGTAAACCAGGCTGTAGACAGATGATATCTGTAAACAGATAACATCTGTTTGTCATCCAGGCTCTGTTGTTCCTTTTATAAAGCACAGTCAGAGTAGATACAGTATATTTCTTAAGAGCCCTAGGACTTTCAGAATGATAAATTAGCATTGTTCCACTTAAAGTCACCAGCTGCATTAGCCCCTAACAAGAGAGTCAGCCTGCCCTTTTAAGTTCTGAAGCCAGGCATTGACTTCTCCTCTCTAGCTATGAAAGTCCTAGATGGCATCTTATTTCATATAAGGCTGTTTCATCTACATTGAAAATCTATTGTTTAGTGTAACCACCTTCACCAAGAATCTTAGCTAGATTTGCTACATACCTTGCTGCAGCTTCTCCATCAGCACTTGCTGCTTCATCTTGCACTTTTAGGTAATGGAGATGGCGTCTTCCCTTAAACCTCATGAACCAACCTCTGCTAGCTTCAAATTTTTTTTCTGCAGCTTCCTCATCTCTTTCAACCTTCCTATATTTAAAAAGAGTTAGGACCTTGCTCTGGATTAGGCTTTGGCTTAAGGGAATGATGTGGCTGCTTTGATCTATCCAGACCACTCAAACTTTCTGACTCAGCAATGAGTCTCTTTTGCTTTCTTATCATTTTTCTGTTCACTGGAGTATACTTTTAATTCCCTTCAAGAACTTTTCCTTTACATTCACAATTCGGATAACTGTGCAAGAGGCCTAGCTTTTGGCTTATCTGCACTTTTGTCATGCCTTCGTCACTATGCTTAATCATATCTAGCTTTTGATTTAAAGAGAGAGATATGCCACTCTTCCTTTCACTCGGACACTTAAAGGCCATTATAGGGTTATTAACTGCCAAATTTCAACATTGCTGTGTCTTGGGGATTAGGGCAGCCTGGGGAGAGAGAGAGAGACGGGAAACAGCCAATGGGTGGAGCAATCAGAGCACACACAACATTTATCAGTTATGTTAGCAGTCTTTCATGGCCATGGTTTGTGGCATCCCCAAACAATTACAATAATAATATCAAAAATTACTGATCACAGATCATCATAACAGGTATAATAATAATGAAAAAGTTTGAAATGTTATGAGAATTATCAAAATGTGACATAGAGACACAAAGTGTCCCCATAACACTAATAAATTTGCTTGAGGAGAGTTGCCACAAACCATGAATTTGTAAAAAGCACACTATCTGTGAAGCACAATGAAGTGGGGTATGTCTGTATAAATAGGCTGGGCTTAGATCTGAGCATGGCTACTAGGTCATTTATCAGCAAATATGCATATCTATACATTCAGTCACTTCCTTCATTTCTTGAATTATATTCAATATATTTGTTTTGGTCAGGGTCTAATCAGGGAAACTGAAACCGTCCTAAGAATTTTAGTGGCTATTTAATTAAAGAAACTGATTACACAAGTATGGGAAAGCCAGAAGAATAAGAAGGGGGTGATGAACAGTAACTCCAAGAACCTGCAACCTTCTCTAGGGTTGCAGAAACAGAAGGAAAAAGGCAGTATTGCTACCTCTATCAAAAAGAGGAGGAGGGTGAGCCATGGTGTGTCTTGGAGCCCTGAGGCGGTGCCGCAGGGCTAGCGTCCACAGTTCCGAGGCATCCCTGTGCAGCTGAGACTCAGGTGTCTCAGAGGATTAGTGCAGAGCTACGTTCAAACCTTTAAGGGCAGGGCCCAGGAAGTACTCTGGTCACCATGGTGTGGCTGCTATAATCCAAGGAGGCCTGGTGAGGGCAGTGCTCACTGTCCAAAAGGTCTTGCGTGGCTGACATAGCTGATGGTGGCATTTCTGAGGAAAATGGTGCAGTTGGTGCCAAAGGACTTGGGAGGAATACTAAACACAGAAGAAAGCATGAAAAAGCCCCTTCTCTCCTCCTCCTGTTGTCCAGTTTCCTACCAGTACCTGCCACTGGTGGAACAGATCTGAAAGTCGCCTGTAACAGTGTCTTGGGGCATCAGTCCCCGTCTGGCTGTGCCTTCTCCCAAGATGTCTAGGTCCCAGCTCTGCAGGGCCTCCTCGCTAATGCTAAGTTTTGATGACGCCAAATGTTTAGCTTAGTTCCCCCAGCCTAGGGGTGATAGTTGCTTCCATCATATGTTAATCTTGGTGTTTCCTTTTCGCCTTTTCTGTCTTCCATTATCCACTTAACCAGCTGTCTATACTAAATTATTTCTGTTACTATAAATGTTACTGTTTCTGTTTTCCTGACTGGCTGCTGACTGATGCTGATCTAACTGATTCTACTGGCCTGGCTTGTACTAGTTAGATGTAATAATCACTATGGCTTGAAGGGATGTGATGTTTGACCAACGTCACCTTGTTCACATGTCAAGGTTCTCCAAGCAAATAAACAAGTGCATGCTGGGCAGACAAAAACTACAAGTCCTAATTATGCCACCCTTGCAAAACAGGCTCTTGTTATTCTCTGCCTAACTCCCCTGTTGTTTCCTTCATGAAACCTATCATAACCTGTGGTATTTTCTGTTTTCCTGTTTTTGTTTGTCCCCCTCACAAGTTAAAGCCCATGAGAGCAAGGACTGTGTCTGTCTCATTCACCACTACCAAACAGGGTCTGGCACAGTCCCAGGCTCAGAAAAGGTGTTTGGTAATTATTTGTTGAATTAATTAACAAATAAACAAACCAACCTGGAAAAAAATCATGAGATGGCTTGAGATTAGTCAGAATTACACAAAGAAGAGATAAGATGTCTTAGTCAGTTTGGCTGCTATAGCAAAAGTAGCATAGACTGGGTCGCTCACACTTCTGGAGGCTGGGAAGCCCAAGATCATGGTGCCAGCAGAATCAGTGTCTGGACAGGGCTCCCTTCCTGGTTTGCAGACAGCCATCTTCTTGTATACTCACATGGCAGAAGAAGCAAGCTCTAGTCCCTCTCTTCGTATAAGCCACTCATCCCATTGTGGAGCGCCACCATTATGACTTTATCTAAACATAATTAGCTCCCAAAGACCCTTTCTCCTAATTCCATCCCATTAGGGGTGAGGGTTTCAACATATGAATTTTGGAGGGGCACAAACATGTAGTCCATAGCAGAAGAGTAATGTGGTGTCAGAACTCCAGATCAAATATTTACATTATTATACATCTGTAACCATTTATAGTGTGTGCTACCAAAGCAAGAATAGACAATAGAACGGAACAGACAGCCCCTACAAAGATGCTAGTCTACTTAAGTGGCAGTTATGATATTAATGAAGGAATTCCTCTAGGTCCTGATGTACTACATTTAAAAATCAGTCAACTCAGAGAGGGAAAATCATCCCATAACAACTTTGTCCCATGCAATGTAGTTTCAGTGTATAAAATCACTTTTGTGCCTTTGGTAACATGTCCTTATTTAGTCAACATATATAATTATTTTTAATGAATTATACATGAATTCTACCTAATTGCCCATTTAATAAAGAAAGTCACCAGATCAGGTGCCTATGTAAGTAACTGTTCATGCTTAAAGTCGAATTCCTGGAACCCTGAAAAGTCATTTATTGAGCTGCTTCTACTTAAGACCACAAAATTTGTCCCTGGCCAGTGGGAAACTATCTTATGTTCAAAAACTATAGAAAAATAATTCATAATTCCTAGATACCCATCGAAAAGTCTACCCCATATTTAACTGTACTCATTTGCATTTTAAACCCATACTCCCCCTCTTGATGTGGAGTGTTTACCATAACAAGCTGCAAACTTTGTGTCACAAAACTGGACATTTAAAATACCCTGATTTTTAGTGATAATGTCCGACTTCAGATTTGTATGTATCTAACTCTTGTGAACCTGCTTAGGATGATATATTAAAGATACGTCTGTGACAGTTAGAAGACCACTTTAATCAATGTGATATATTCAGAGGATATAATCATTATTTCAGTTTAAAATACGAGTCTCCCTCCTGCATCAGTACTGCACAAACAAATGAGTGACATTTGTAACGTTTTTAATCCTTGCCTTCAAATGCTATGAATGTTAGAGTTCTGATTCTATATGCTAATTTTATGTTCTCAGTGCTAGGTTTATTTGGGAATGATTTTGATTAAATCTTAGCAGAACCAGACTTCCTACATAAACCTGGCATCCTAGATATTTTCCATATGGGGAACGGCTTCTTAAAAGCAAGGCAAGAAATCTATTATTTAGGGTTGATGGAGTAAGAAAAGAGCATGGAGTCAGATTTTTGCATCAGATACAGCTGGGTTCAAATCTTGGTTCTATCAATCCCTAGTTTGATCTTCAGCAGTTTCTTAAGTGCTCTGAGCTTCTGTTTATCACTTTAAACAGACTGAAGAATCAGACTAATACCATTTACTGTGCAGAACTGCTATGAGGATAAAATTACATCGTATATATAAACAAAGTACTGTTGTACTACAGTATAGTACTACAAAGTACTGTAGCATAGTGTCTGACATATACTGACTCCTTAATACAATACTAGTTCCCTTCCTTCTCTCCTAAGGACTACAAGGTATTAGATGGGTAATTCCATGCACCAAGAAATAATCAATAATGAATGATTTAAAAATATTTTGGGGAAAGGGAAAGTAGGAGGAACTTGAGTAGCATCAATACTTCACTGCAAAGCATGCATAGGAAGTCCGCTGGAAGAGCTGACCAGTGGCCAATCTGACCTGGTAGCCTGCCACCAAGGAGCATTTTGGGAGAGGCTGTAATGACACTCATTCCAACATGTCTAGCCCCTTTACTTAAATGGTACAGATTTCTGGTCCATAGACTTATCTAAACCAGTCCTGGATAGATGTATATTTTGCATTTGTCCCACTACTGTAGGTGGCAGACTCTTATAGTTTGCATGGGGTTTACAATGTGTTCCCCTAAGTTAATATTTCAAAATCTTTTCAATAAAGCTTTCTGATTTTATAAAGCTGGATACTGACACAAGTTGGCAACAGGGATGTGGGCTGATAGTCCCTTTTTGGGAGGCCCAAATACATTTCCAGTGGACACAGATGGCTTAACTATTATTCTCTCTCACTTTGTCATTTGAAACACTGATCATTTGAGAGAATCAACTCTGAACACCACTATTTACACCAATGCACCACCAACAACAGACATAACACTAATTTAAATATTCAGTTTAAAGGAAATAATTTACTTAAAGCAAAACCCAAAACCCTTGAAGACCTGAACCTGACAGTGGTCCTCACAGTTGCGGGAGTACCATGGAAAGGTCATAAATTTGGCAATAATTGAGAAAAGAATCGAGTATTATTTTAAGATAACATAATTTTAGAAAGGTAATATAGTAAGTTGGATCATGTCTCACCAAATTTATGTCCACTTGGATCCTCAGAATATGACCTTATTTGGAAAAGGGTTTTTGTAGATATAATTAGTTAAGGATCTCAAGAGGAAATTATCCTGGTTTTAAGGGTGCCCTAAATCCAATGACCGGTGTCCACACACAAGGAAGGACACAAGAAGACACAGAAAAGAAGGACATGCAAAAATGGAAACAGAGATGAGAGTAACACTGCCATAGACCAAGGAGTGCCAAAGATCACCAACAAACACCAGAAGCTAAGGGAGGTTCCAGAAGAAACTAATCCTGTTGACACCTTGATTTCAGACTTCTGGCCTCCAGAACTGTTAGAGAATGAGATTCTGCTGTCTAAGCCACCCAGTGCGTGGTGCTTTGTTATGGCAGCCCTAGGACATGAACACCAGCAGGAGGCGTATGGTAAGGTGGGAACTCTGAAGCCAGACTGTCTCAGTTCACATTTTGGTTGTCACTTTCTCATTACGTTTATGGGCTGTTGATCTTTTTTGGATTCATTTGCTCATTTGTGAAATGGAGATAAAACTAGTTCCTATATCAAAGGTTTGGCATGACAGTTAAATCAGGCAGTTAATGCTCAATAAATATTGCCAAAAGACAAAATGACAACAAATTTAGTTTAAAGATCTTAATTGGCTTTTATTTGCAATTCTAGAGTTGAGAAACACCTCGATGTGTTCCAGTGAGCTGAGCAGAAGTGGCTGGCTTTATAGACAGAAAAGGAAAACAGAAACAGGGAACAAAAAGTCATTTCACAGTTACTTTCCTTGTAAAGGTTAAATCAGATGGGACTTTCTTATCATGCCAGCTAAAATTGGCTCATTTGGGGGTTTGGCTATTTATTATCCCTCTCTCTCCTGATTTCTTGGAAGGTCAAATAGACAACTTCATTTCAGCTTGGTGGCCATGAAACTTTAGCGTGAGTGACTCCATTTTGGTCTGGTCTGTTGGGCCTAGCGCAGGAGCTCCGTTCAAACCAATGACTTCCTATAAATTTTATTTAACAACACTCATTATGATTTACAGACTGTGTTTCTATGTCCCTGTATTTCAAAAGCATATTATTTCTGCCTTCTCCTTACTTCATGGGAGGATTTGTGACAATGGACACAAACTAATATTTTTATAAACATGGTGAATATGACTAAACCTTTGTTTCTATTATTACTATCCTTTCATGTCTACTTAGGGTTCAACAACTAAGGGAAATCACAGCCTTTATGGTAAAACTCATGCATTTTTTGTGTGACAGTTGTAACCAAATGCTGATTCACATGATATGTATTTAAACGTGTTGCTACGATTAACAGATAGTTGATGAATACTATTTAATTAATAAATCAGAAGCCTTATTTTGGAGTTTTAGAAAAATAAAAGTTAGAAAATGCATAGCTAGTTCCAGAAATAAAATACCTGTGAAATGATGATAAATAAAAATGCCTTCCACTTCCTTTCATTTCATTCTATAGTCTTGGTTCTATCTCTGAGTCTGGAATCTGCTCATTTGAAATTTTCCATTGTGATAAGGTGAGCAGGTCCTGGCTGCTCCACCTACTGGTGTTACTTGATAGAAATCATGAAACTTCTCTCAGCAACTGCTTCTTCATTGGAAACATAAGGAAACGCGTAGGCTCTACCTTACAGATCTCTGAGGAACTCAGCTAACAGGACACAAGTAAAGAAAGAACTGTAGCATGAGCACATGGTGACTGTTCAATAACTTTCTGAAAAAGTTGTTCTTATCTCCAAGACATATTACCCTGAATTTCTTTGATTTTAATTACCTTAACATGAAAGCTCTCATCACAAGCCACAACTTAGATTATACATCTAACAACTAGCACCAAAAACAAGCAAATCATTGGAAAATATCTCTGCAGAAAGGACTACATAATTAAAGAACAATCTGTGAAGATCTGTAGTTTTTTTTAAATTTTTTTTCAACTTGAAGGTGAAACTGTACATCTATGCTTTGCCAACTGACTACTTTCTGGGGCTGATTTGAGTCATGTGCACACACTGGTCCCCAGACACACAAAACAGAATCAAGGCCTTGGCTTACAGTGACATTGCATCTGTAAGAGCCATGTAAATACCTGCTACTTGGTATCTTCTACATCTTAGATATTTATTTTTATTCTAAAGCCAACCTACATATCCATAACTGCACAGCAACCATTTATACATCTCTATATTTGTGATTTTGATTTTTAGGCAACACTTACCATCTATTTTTTTTGCTATCAATCTCATCACAAAAGGTATAATCACATGTATTTTGTATATTGGAAAGTAAATTTACCAATATTAACTTTAGGTAGAAGATGTCAGAAAATCCTTTTAATATTATTTTTGACCTTTATTTTCACCAACAGCAATAGGTTAGTGTCCATTAAAAAGATGAGCTTTACAAAAGTGCAAGGTTTCAAAAATTATTTGAGAAGTCAGATCTCAGGGAAAATGCAGGAAAAGAAGGGATGGCCAGAGGTTCAGGAAGAGGGACACCCATTGGCCATGCCTTCAAGAAGTTCTTGTTCTGGTTTGCTGACATGAAAGCTATGTCAAGGAAACTGCCTTCTAGTGATGAAAAGATTCATTTAGACAATGGCATTTGTGACGGATTTGTCTTATGTTCAGCATGACCAGTGAGAAGCAGAGGGATTTGGGGAATGGTGGACAACAGGTGGGAAAAAGGGGGCAATTGAAGGAAAAGCTTTTAAGTGACTCCAATAAAGTATGTACCAAAAGATGGTCCTTTTGTCAGGAAAATGCTAATAAGGGATTACACTACAGACTCTCAATGGGAGTGTAAAGAGGAGTTGTGTGGGCAAATTTGGAGGGGGTTGTAGTCTAGAAAGCATATTCAAATACTTGCCATTTTTATAATACAGTTCAAAAATTGCAGAAATTAATGCAACTGCAATAAAAACATTACAAAAATATTTAGAGTGGTATTATTACTGAAAATAGAAATCTATAGATGATATAGGTTTAGCAGATTGAAAAATGCTGCCTTCATAAACAGTTTCTTCTGAATAGATGCCTTCTTATTTATACAATAGTTTTTAGCTATTCAATATATTTAACCTCCAAATCAGTGATCCTCAACCTTTTTGGTACCAGGGACCGGTTTCGTGGAAGACAATTTTTCCACAGGACAGGGCTGGCGGGGGAATGGTTTCAGGATAAAAGTGGTCCACCTCAGATCATCAGGCATTAGTTAGATTCTCATAAGGAGCACGCAACCTAGATCTCCTGCACGCACAGTTCATAATAGGGTTAGTGCTCCTATAAGAATCTAATGCTTACGCCGATCTGACAGGAGGTAGAGCTCCGGCGGTAATGCTCACTCACCTCCCATTGTGTGGCCTGGTTCCCAACAGGCCACAGACCAGTACCAGTCAGTGGCCCAGGGGTTGGGAACCCCTGCCCTATGAAGGCACTGATTGCTTTTAGGCATTTTGCTATTTCTATGAATTATGTATATTAGGCAATTTAATCACAGTTATAGCTAGGTGCATTCAACTCACCTGAGTATAGCATGAACTAACTCCACACACACACAGACACATGCACACACACACACACATACATACACACACAGAGAGACTTGCATACACATACAAATTATGAAGGACTCCATGTTTGTCCAGCAATAAAAGGCTTATTATTATTATCTGTTTCATTAACTTTTTATTTTCTATATGGACTTCCAAGAATTTCTGGTTCCCCGCTAGTGCCATCACCCCACAAGTCACCCCAACCTGCCAGACTAAATATGGGATCTTCTCTAAACCAATAAGGCTGAGATAATAAGAAGCAACAGCTTGCTTTATCCTCATTCTCTGAGAAGCTCAGCCTTCTGGGAAGAGATGAGTAGCCACCCCCTCTAATCGCAGAAGGTGTTGAATCTAGAATCTAGTTGTCCTTACAGAAAAATCAAGTGTCCAGATAAAGACTCCCTTACCTGTCTTCTTTGTAAATGTTCCCAATTTCTGGTAAATGCAGAGGGTTCCTCTTGGGCCTCTTTCATGGGTCCCAGGTAATATTGGTAAAATTAAGTATAAAATAAAACAAACACAGACAGATAATTTATATCTTACAGACCGTCACTGAAAGGACTACTAAAGGAAAGTTTTGTGTTCTAGCACTAGGGACTCTGACTAACCTTCCTCCTGAAAGCAAGTGCTCCATAAAATATAAAAACACATCCTCATAAATGCTTCAATAAATTGACAATAAAGAAGGCAAAAAGTTTAAGTGATGTGAGAAACCTAGAGAATAAGCAGCATACTGAATTTGGCTTTGGCTCTCAGGACATTCGCAAAATCCTAGTGACCTTAATCTTTCCTTTTACTGACCTTGTGGAGCTCATGGAGGGCAGAAGACAAGATCAGAGCCATTTGAGGGTAGGGGCAGACTGGGGATGGAGAATCTCAGAAGAGTTTCTCCAATAAAATTAGGTCCACAAAGGTTTCAGTTTAAGGGTGAACTAGAAATAAGCTTCTGTATCCCCAGTAGATCGCAAATAAAATTGTCTGGCTTGAAATTCAGTGATAAATAAGAGGTGATAAAAATTTCCTTTGAGAATTCCTAACTATAAACCAGATTCACACCAGTTTTTAGTCTGAACTCACAATATAGGATGATGTGAAAAATTTCAAGCCAAGAAGTTAGATTAAAATTGTAGGGAGAAGTATGTCTCTAGGACACTCGGGCAAAAGAAACACAAATACCTAAATACCTTCTAAAGAAACCCACCTTCACCCAAGGATTCAAAGAATTCCTCAGATAAAGATCCAAGCCCACAATTAAAAAAAAACACACAAAAAATCAGGAAATATGTCAACATGAGTGAGACCAAGAACCAATAGCAGATTTAAAGGAGGAAAGACTTCAGAAAAGACAAACACACAAAATACTCTAGTTAAAAGACAAACATTATCAGAGTGGATTTCAAAATAAATCCAACCATATGTTGTGTATAAGAAGCACACCTGAAACAAAAGAATACAGACAGGGTGAAAGTGAAAGACAGCCAACTGGAAGTCATCTCCACCCTCATTGTTCCCTGACTCCTATCATCTATCAGAGACATGATGACCCCTTGCTCTTTGTCTCTTTCCTTTGGTTATATTACAGTTTTCTTTTTTGCCTTCCTTAACAATCCCTTGGACTTTTCCAGTGGTCCTTCTTCCTCCTCAGACTTCTAAGCATTCCTCTAGCGAAGTGCTACGCTATTTGTTCTATTCCCTGGAGGGTCTCAAAGGGTGTCCCCTGACTACCTGCATTAAAATCATTTTGGCTATTTGTAAAAACAGAATTTCCTGGGCGATTAGCCAGACATTCTGATTTTTAGATTTGGGAAAGGATCTAAGAATTGCATTTTTAACAAGCTCCACCAGTAATTATTATATACTCCAAAGTTTGAAGACCTTTTTTTTATTGTAGTTTTTATTTTTCAGACAGGATCTCACTCTGTCACCCCGGCTAGAGTGCAGTGGTGTGATCTCAGCTCACTGCACCCTCCGCGTCCTGGGCTCAAGCAATCCTTCCACCTCAGCCTCCAGAGTAGCTGGTACTACAGGCATGTGCCACCACGCCCGGTTAACATTGTATTTTTAGTGGAGATAGAGTTTCACCATGTTGCCCAGACTGGCCTCGAATTCCTGGGCTCAAGCCATCCACCTGCCTCAGCCTCCCAAAGTGTTAGGATTACAGGTGTGAGCCACTGCACCCGGCTTGAAGATAATTTAATGTATTCTTTCTTTCAAAATATTCATGTTTTCATGTTTCATGGCTTTAATAGTTGTTAATACTTTATTTTAGTATTTTCCCCTGTCCTCTCATCTAAATTACAGTTCTGTACTTTAGGTGGCACTTCTAAGGTATTTGTCAACTTGATGTCAATTGGACCATCAATCACATTAGTTAAAATTAAGAAATTATGTATAGCTCATCCTTTCATTAATAAATCCAATTCATTACAACTCATATTCTTGTCCTGTAAAATATCCTTAAGTTCCTTTTGCTCTGTATTGCTGTCTCTTTAGTACGACCCTCATTACTTTATGTATGGATTTTTATAACTAGTTTTTCTATTCAAATGTTCTAGTCCTACAATCCATCTAGGACACTGCTGCCAGAATAATTTTCCTTAAATATCACTTTCACCATATCACACTGATGCTAAATATCTTCATATCATTCCTTAGTTCCTTAATAATCAAATTTAAACTTGCCTGTCATGTTTTTGAACTTCAGAATCCACTCCACTCAATGTGCCTTCCCATCATCCAGTAGTCCATACTCTCTACGTCAGACATGCTGCTCTCCTGCTGTCATGAATGCATGAAGCGAGTATGACAACAAAGCACAACTCATGGCAGGCAATCACAGAGTGACTTTTTTTTTTAATTTATATTTATGTTGTGCAGCTAGCTGTTTTTCCCCCATTCCTAAGTGAAAATTTAGGAAGCTCCTATGCCTTCCACAGCTGCCATCAACCAATTAAAATTCCTAGTTATTATCAGTGATGAAACAGTCTCAATTTAATACTGATATTAGAGGTGCTTGAACCAGAGTGACTCCATCTTGAATAGGGGCTGGGTAAAATGAGGCTGAGACCTATTGGGCTGCATTCCCAGGAGGTTAGGCATTCTTAGTCACAAGATGAGATAGGAGGTCAGCACAAGATACCAGTCACAAAGACTCTGCTGATAAACAGGATGCCATAAAGAAGCAGGCCAAAACCCACCAAGACCAAGAAGGCAATGAAAGCAACCTATGATCATCTTCTCTGCTCATTATATGCTAATTATAATGCATTAGCATGCTAAGAGGCACTCCCATCAGCTATGACAGTTTACAAATGCCATGGCCACATCAGGAAGTTACTCTATATAGTCTAAAAGGAAGAGAAATCCTCAATTTGGAGAATTTCCTGCCCCTTTCCCAGAAAACTCAGAAATAATCCATGCCTTGTTTGGCATATAATCAAGAAATAACCATAAAAATAGCCAACCAGCCACCCTCAGGGCTGCTCTGCCTATTTTATTCCTTTACTTTCTTAATAAACTTGCTTTCACTTTACTCTATGGACTTACCCTGAATTCATTCTTGCGTGAGGTCCAAGAACCCTCTCTTGGGGTCTAGACCAGGACCAGCATTCCAGTAACACTGTCACATACATAATGACATTTTGGTCAACAACGGCCCATGCACTTACGATGGTGGTCCCATAAGATTATAATGGAGCTAAAAAATTCCTGTTACTTAATAATGTCATAATAGTCCTAATGTCATAATGTAATGCATTACTCATCTGCTTGTGGTTATGATGTAAATATACCTACTGCACTGTCAGTTGTATAAAAGTATGGCACATGCTTATGTACATAAGTACATAATTAAGCATATGATACTTGATAATGATAATAAATGGCCATATTACTGGTTTATGTATTTATTATATCATACTTTTTATTATTTTAGAGTGCTTTTCTACTGATTGAAAAAAGAAGTTAATTGTAGAACAGCCACAGACAGGTCCTTCAGGAGATATTTCAGAATGCATTGCTATCATAGGAGATGACAGCTCCATGTGTGTTACTGGCTCTGAAGACCTTCCAGCGGACAAGATGTGGAGGTGGAAGACAGTGGTATTCATGCTCTTGACCCTGTGTAGGCCTAGGCTAATGTGTGCGTTTGTGTCTCATTTTTAATTAAAAAGTTTAAAAAGTTAAAAAAAATTAAAAACAAAGAAAAGCTTATACAATAAGGATACAAAGAAAGAAAATATGGTTGTACAACTATACAATGTGTTTGTCTTTCAAGCTAAGTGTTACTACAAAAAGTCAAAAACTTAAAAAAATTAAAGTTTATAAAGTTAAAAAATTATCATAAGCTGAGGTTAATTTATTTTTGAAGAAAAAATTTAAAGAAATTTGATGTAGCCTAAGTGTAGTATTTCTAAAGTCTACAGTAGTGTACAGTAATGTCCTACATCTTCACATTAATTCACCACTCACTGTCTCACCCAGAACACCTTCCAGTCCTGCGAGCTTTATTCATAATCAGTGCCCTATACAGGTGTACCATTTTAAATCTTTAATATTCCCTTTTTACTCTACCTTTACTATGTTTAGATATACAAATTCTTACCATAGTGAAACAGTTGCCTATAGTAGTCAATGCGGTAACATGCTGCATAGGTTTGTAGCCTAGGAGCAATAGGCTATACCATATAGCCTAGGTGTGTACTGGGCTATGCCATCTAGATTTATGTAAGTACACTTTATGATGTTCACACAACAACGAAATCACCAAATGATGCATGTCTCAGAATGTATCCCCATCTTTGAGCAATGCATGACTAAAATTAAATATAAAGGACCACATAATAATCCAAATTCTAAACTTACTTTTAAGTTTGGAGGAGCACAGGCTACAGGTCAGAAGTAGTTGGCTTCTCTCTTTCCTTATCTAGTAGTTGTTTTCTTCCTTCATCTTTTTGTTAAACTAAATCTCTGAATCATCCAGGATTAAAGCAAGGGAGAAGAGGAGGAGAGAGGCCCAGAAATGTTCTTTCTTGACAAGCGCTAGTAAAATAATCTAACATCAACGAACCTTTGGCCTGCGAAGTTGTTTAAAACTCACTTTCTCATATAGGTGCTTTCATGGCCTTTTTGGTGAATGCTTCTGACTCTGGCTTTTTTGGAGAAGGCTAACCTCTACTTGAAGTGCCTTAGCAGAGGTAAAAACATCTCTAAACTGTTCATTACTTCCTTGTCTGCTGAAAAGTTGACAGCACTCAGAATTTCTACCTCTGGACTATAGAGTCCTAATTAGGGAAAAGGAGCCAGGCTGGTGGGAGCAGGGAAAAGCAAAAAGAAAAAGCAGGTAAGCTATAAGTCTGCCTTTCTTCATAGTCCAGGACACGTAGCACTCTTGTGCAAATAATTCACAATCTTTCTGAGCCCAGCTATCACCAGACCCTTGGATGAGAGTAAAATGCAGGTTAGTTCACTGCAACCTTGGTGTTATCAGTACTGCACAAAGCCTTCTTTAGCACATCACACAAAATCCCCAGCAAGCTTTTGTCTCCTTACAGTCAGCTCCTTTCTTGCTGACCTGCCCATTGTACACTTGCAATGTATTTTCATACTTTCTTGAATAATCCTGCCTTTCTTTACCTACAAACTGTCTTGGTAAATTCTTCTTACTGCTCATGCCACTGGCCCCAGATGGTTGCTGATCACTTGCAGTATGGCCCTTTCTGGACAGGGCTTAAAAACAACTCTATACTAGCTCTCCCTCAAAAATGATCCATATTCAGAAGAAAAACTTAAATACTCTTTGCACCTACAAACTCCTGGAATGTAGTGTGTCTCCACTTAAGAAACTTCTCCTTTATTCTGTCAGTCTTTCCTTTCTTCAGATTTCTCAGGTGAGAATCAGACATGAGCCTACAGTTAGCCAGCAGACTGCAGGGAATACATAGTAAGTTCTCTGAGTAGCTGGTAAGGTGCTGGTACCCCATTCTGGTACCCACAAATCAACAGCAGCTCTCTCCAAATTATCAACATTTTATACCATTGACAAGGTGGATCTCCTTTGTAAATCTTGCATAAAGTCTCTGTGGAATGTAGAATTTGTATGTATCTTAGTTTCTCAGTCCAAACTTATATTTTAATTTCTCATTACAAATGCTTAATAATTTCTATCTTCATGTGTGTTGTTTTCCTCTCTGGAATCTATCTATTCTTTCCCAACTCGCTTATCCAAATCTGAGCTATCCTGCAAGGTTGTGCTCAAGTTCCATCTTATTTATGCTCTCTTGCCTGACTGTTTTAGATTTTCCAGCATTGTCTTTGGAAGCCCTACACTAGTTGCAGAAGTTACTATAATCAATACATAAAGTTTGCCCTTAGCATTTCTTTTTCATGAAAGAAATACAGGCACCTTCATGAGACAGTGACTCTGTGGCCTACAAACTTAATTGTACTTGAAATACAAAAATATCTTTGAAAAATGTGCTGATCCAAAAGGTGGCTTATAAGTTTAAGAAAAGTGGGACAAAGAGAGGCAAATGTTAGGCATGGACATCTAGGTTCATTAAATTTCTTTGAATGAACACTCATCACTTAGAAAAGAAGGGAAGTATTAGGATAAAGCTTGTTGTTCTATATTATATATGCTGAATATTTCAAACATTCACTTTTTTAAACATTTATATATAAACAGGAGCTAGAAAACCTATTTACTTGAATCTAACTTTTTTTTCAACTTTATTGAGTATAACTGACTAGTAATTGTATATTTGAATCCAACATGCTTAAATAAACTAAGCTCTCTATTAGAAGTTGAGGGGCTAGAAAACATGTAACTCCCATATTTGTTATTAATTGTTTACTATATATAAATATGCATATATGTAATATATGTGTGTATCATAATTCATGTTATTTATTAATAATAAATAATAAAATCATAAATAAAATGAATAACTCTCTTTGCCTATATATTGGTCAGAGTAAAATTTATGACACTATATTTTAATACTTTAAAGTACAGTGATTATTTAGCTCACATTTTTCATGACACTTGCAAATGGTAATTAACCACCAGTGCAGGGACAAACATTAACTTTAAAAAACGTCATTAATTAACTTACAGAGCACTGGTTATTTTCTATTTTAATGACTGCTTGGATTTATACATACCAATTATCATATATAATGTTTGTCTATGCTCTTCACCTTGTCACTTTTTATTTAAATAGAGGAAACTGTTGTAATCAAAAAATGTTTTGAACAGATGCAGTACTAAGTGAACTTAAAGATATATATATACGTACATAATCATGCTCTTCTACTAACTAAGCAATACTGACTTTCAGAATAAAATATCCTGGAAAATGGAATTTTTAACCAAGGTAGCAATTCATAATTAGAAAATAATCAGTAAATCATTACTAAAATTATAAGCCATGAAATAGTTAGCAACAAAAATAAGCACAAAATCATGACCTTCAACAGATACGGAGTTTAAAAGTGAGGTTCTCTCACAAACAGATACAAACCAAAAGCTACAGGATATCAATACCATTTTCTTCTTAGTTGTAGATATTTATGAAGTATCTCCTATATTCAGTTTGTGAGAATATAAAAACTTATTTACCAAATAGATTACACTGTGCTATTTATTTTGCACACAAATCTTAGCGACTAAGTAGTATTGGCTGAAAAAACTAGAATGGATTTGAAATTCTATCTCATATTGAGAATTTTAAAAAATTCTTAAGAAAAAAATGTACCTGTTTTGGAAAAGTCCACTGAGTTCTACTTACTCAATTGGAAAGAGTAAATAAAATTCAACAGATAATTTGGTGTTTAGGTAGTCTTATAAAGAAATTCCTGTCACAATGAGAGGTCATTTTTCTATCTTATTTAGTTGAATCAGTAGAACCTATATTTATCTTAGCTTCATCTTTAGTGTTTTTTTTTAAGTCATAATTATGAAACAAGCCTTGAAATGGAAGTGCAAGAAGTAAATTCAAGTGTCAGGTTTACTACTGTGTCTTTGAGTAAGTCACTAAGAATTTTAGAGTCTTCAGTCTCTTAATCTGCAAATGAACATAAAAATATTTGCCATGTTTATCCCATGTAATTAATGTAAGACTCAAATAGGCAATATTACATATGGAAAAGACACTGAAAACTATTATTATCTGAGACAGAGCAGCACAGGAACAGATCACAGGTTTAGAATGGGATTCAAGTCCAATGCCACCATCACCAACAGTGTACCTTTAGATAAGTCATCAAATCCCTTCCAGCCTCAATTTCTTCCTCCACTAAATGAGGCAGCTAATTTGTAAGGTTCTTTCCATCTTTATAAGTCTGTGATCTGGTACGAGAAACCTAATGAAGAAATTCTCTAACATGCTTTTGTTTCCTATGAAAGTAACGTACACTGATTAGGTGCTCATGATTAATTTTAGACTCTGTCTTGCAAATAAGAGAAAGTCATCATTTATTTGGCAGGAACAGGCTCACATCCCTTATGAAATGAGGTGTGGTATTAATTTATTAACTGTATACCAGAATGTTCAACGTTAAATGTAGGAAGGTGGCGTTTGTGAAGAATTACAAGAATCATTACATGGTATAAAATCTGAGCATAAAACTAACATTGGAAAAGAATCTGCCCTTGAAATACAGAAAACAAGTCTGTACTACATTACTTACAGTCTATGTTAAAATCACACACCCCATACAAACAAAAGATTACAACTAAACACTGAGGAACAGCTGCCCTTGTCTGGCAGTTTGATATCCTTTCAATTACTTGTTTTTCTGTAGTGCTAAACTTGGATTTTGTGTACACCACAACTAAACATAGAACAGACAAAGGCTAAGCCACATAAGCTTGTTGCTGTAAGTGCTACAAGAGCAGGGATTCTTGTCTGTTTTATTCACTGATGTATCCCAAACACCTAGAACACGGCCTGCTGCATCATAAGCACTGAATAAATATGTATTGAACAGATGAACTGGCTTCCATTTATTCCTTGAATAGATAAGCTACATTCTGTTTATGACTTTTATTGATTTGCATTTATATCATTAACATGCTTCTATAGAAAAAGAGATAAACCACAAGATTTAACCAATGGTTGCCTGAATAAAAGAGATAGTTTGGGATGAAAATAAATGACCAGCACAAAAGCTTGAAACCTGCCTGTTGCCTTAAAATGATCTGAATTCCTCAAACCTCAAACCTTGGCATTATGCATTATACCCAGGTAACTTCACCTGCACATGTATCCCCTGAATCTAAAATAAAAGTTGAAAAAAAAGTAGTTTCTTCCAGTGTAAAACTACAGAATAAATAGGACAAACCCCAAAGCTAAAGAACTGCTCTTTTAATGTTACTAAAGAGAGCACTTCAAACGATGGAGGAAGAAATCTACATATAATTCACAAAATGGGATTAAAAATACATGAAAAAAGAGCTATTAATAAATATGTCTCTTGTGTTTCTTCCCGTTAAAACTCAAAACAGTGTGGTCTGCCTTGTGCCCACATCAAAGAAAGCCAGTGAACTAAGAATAAGAGAAATGAAGGCTCAACTCAGTATCTCTCTCGTGGCGCCTAAACACATTTTACAAAAATGTTCTTTGAACCAGCAACAAACCCAGAAAACTAGAAACAGAACAGGAAGATAAACCCACAAGAGAAAACAACCATGACATCGCCACACCCCCTTCTAGTTTTCTCCAAAACATTTTTCATACCAGATGAACACAGTAAGTCAAACAGCTCTATTTTTAAATGCATGAGTCTTGGTTGTGGCATAATAGATCAATGAGAAATCTTTTGTCTTCAGGAAAACACAAGCCTATAACAGAAAGCATGTAAGTTTATAAAATAGCATGTCTGATAAAGAAAGCATCAAAATGAAAGAATGAATGAACCAGTGTGCAAATGAAATCTCTAAGAGAGAATTCTAGAGTAATTCAGGAAGAAGTAGCAATGTATAAATGGGCTCATCAATTCTCAATCTTCTTCTCATATGACATAACATCTCAACCTGCCTATATAAGAACTTAGGATAAAAAGGAAGAAGGAAAATTAAAAGGTGTTGAGACTAGCTTGAACAATTCCCATTGTCAAGGCCAGACAGGTATTCTGGAAGAGAATAGAAAAATCCAGAGACAAAGGGAGGTAACAAAAAGTAAAGTGCCAGCACAGGTAGGCTGGAGAGAAAGTCTAGGGAGAGTTTTGAGGAAACGTGGGGATAGGCCATAGAGTCACTTACCATGCTGTGATTCAGAAAGAGGATTTTAAATAAAGTTTTGCTCCATATATCAATGAAACTCCCATGAAATTTTTAAGAGGCTGTAGGAAGGATTTAAGTTACTTTTGCAATATTTCTAGATGTTATTTATTCATTTATTCCACAAATATATGATGGGGGCACTTTCTTAGGACTGTGTTTACACTGGCAGCCTCTGTAGAGATCGGCCATATGATGGGAGCAAGAAAGTCCAGCTTTATGTAGATTCCTGAAAGAAAATATCCAGAAGAGGAAGACTACAGTTGAGCCTTGAATAACATGGGTTTGAATTGCGTGAGTCCACTTATACACAGATAGTTTTCAATAACAGTTACAAGTATGCCTGCCTCTCCTGCCTGCCCTTTCCTCCGTCTCTACCACCTCCGACACCCACGAGACCGAAAGACCAACCCTTCTCCTTCCTCTTCCTCCTCGGCCATCTCAACATGAAGATGATGAGGATGAAGACCTTTACTTAATGAATAGTAAATATATTTTCTCTTCTTGATGATTTCCTTAATAATAACTTCCCATCTCTAGCTAACTTTATTGTAAGAATACAGTATATAATACATAAAACACACAAAAGATGTGTTAACCCACTATTTATGTTATGGGTAAGACTTCCAGTCAGTGATAGGCTATTAGCAGTTAAGTTTTGGGGGAGTCAGAAGTTATGCACAGATTTTTAACTATGTGGAGGGTTAGCATCTCTACCCTCTGCATTGTTCAAGAATCAACTGTATATTCTAATACTGCTTCTTGTTCTATTATTTGAGAACATCCTTGTATAGAAAATGTGTTACAGTCATTATGGAAAACAGTATGGAGGTTCCTTTAAAAGTTAAAAATAGAACTAAAATATGATCCAGAAAGTCTACTTCTGAGTATATATCCAAAGGAAAAAAAATCAGTATGTCAAAGATATATTTACACTAGTATGTTCATTGCAGCATTATTCACAATAGCCAAGATATAGAATCAACCAAAGGGTCCATCCATAGATAAATGGATAATGAAAATGTAGTATATATACACAATAGAGTACTATTAAGCCTTAAAACAGGACAGCCTATCATTTGTGACAATAATGGATGAACCTCAAGAACATTATGCTAAATAAATAAGCCAGGCACAGAAAGACAAATACTGCATGGTCTCACTTTTACATGTGGCATTTAGAAATACTGAACTCATAGAAACAGAGAGTAGAATGGTGGTTGCCAAGGGCTGGGGTAATTGGAGATGTTGCCCAAAGGTTACAAAGGTTCAGTTAGACAGGATGAGTAAGTTCTGAAGATCTACTTTATAGCATTAATAATAATGTATTAATAATAATATGTTCTATACTTGAAAATTACTAAGAGAGTAGGTCTTAAATATTCTCACCACAAAAAATTCTAAGTGTGAGAGGTGATGGTTATGTTAACCAGCTTGATTTAATCGCTTCACAATATACATACATCAAAACACCACCTTGTACGCCATAATTATATACAATGTGTTTTCAGTTGCTGTCAACCAACAGATGAACTTTCAGAACTCAACCATTCAACTTAGCAGCTGCCTGTTCACCGGACAACTTTTTCCCATAGCTAGTCACGATGCTTTTTCATTCTCTTCTAAAGGTTAAAGTAAAGCACTACCAGTCCTCATGAATTTCTCATGAGTTATGATTAAGTGCGACCAAATTCCAAGCACTATTTGACTGAGAAATGTCTTCAATCTAAATACACGGGTATCAAAACCGCCAACAATAAGAACCCAAGGCTATTTCCATATAAATTTGGTCTTTGCTTAAAAATAAAATTCCATGAAAGTTCCCTAAGATAATCACCCACACAGAGTGTTTTCCATGATTAACAATGGCATTTGTGCTATAGTCGCTGCCAGGAAGGGAAGCATGAGTCTGGCTTCGGCCAGGACAGCAAGAGAGATCTCCTCTAAAAACAGAATACAGTATAACTCATTCTTCCAGATCTTCCAGGGAAAACTGAATGACGAGTGTGTGAATGTCTTTTTAAAACAATCTGTTAAATGCTTTTAGATCCTGTGCCCTGATTACTGGCTGACCTATATATTTTTGGCAATGCTAGTGCCCTAGAGGGCCTGACAATTTGATAGGCAGTTAAGTCCTCAGTTAAGATGAATTTTGAAAAAGCTGAGATTAAACAGACTAATTTCCCGCAAAAGTATTTTCTTCTGATCTTTGAAATGTTAAAGGGGCCACATCAGTGTATTATTTTGAGCAAGGAAAGTTTTGCCTTACAAAGACTGCCAGTATAAACAACTAATCCCTGGCCAGTTGCACAAGCCAGACAAGGCACAGTTTCCAGGCAGAAGCAGCGGCTCTCTACCTAATGGGGCTGGGTGAGAGGGCACACTCACATAGCACATTAGATTTCCTGTGTAAATTATCATTTGTTTCTACCGTATATGGCTATTACAAAGCATGTTGTGAAGATCCAATAAGACAATGTACAGAAAATGTCTAGTGTAGCATCTGACATTATCATTACCATTACAATAGAAACACATTCTACCCACTGTTTGGATCAGGTGGAAAAATGCAAAAGAAAAAAATTCTTTTTTTTTTCTTTTTTTGCAGCCTCATTTTTGGACCAGAGTATCTCTAAGTATCTCAAAAGTATTGTAATGTCATATTATATTTTTGAAATGTTTTATTTTCTTATAATCAAATATTTAAACCAATATTTTGTTAGCAACAAGCTAATGAATAGAAAATGGAAGGTAACTTCTTAAATATTCATGATTTCTAAAAGACAGCTTGCCCACTGGGATTCTTTGGCAGATATGCAATTACCATTGTAGAGAACTAAAAGGAGCTTTAGGTATCATTTTTAAAACAAGGAAACTAAAACCCAAAGAGACTAAGGGAATGCCAGACCTAGTACAAAAAAAAAGGATCTACTTTGGACGCCTGTAAAAATGTCTTTGCACTAATCTTAGCTATTAATACATCCAAATGAGGCTCAGTCACCCTCGAGTCACCCTCAGATGGCATGATCATACAAATAAGGGGAAATTAACATTTGCAAGGTAAATACTGGCCAACCGTTTCTACATAAATTACTGTCTTTAGTTCTCTCACAAAAACTTTGCAACATAGATATTATCAGTGTTACTTTTTTGTTTTTTTTTTGGAGACAGGGTTTTGCTCTGTCACTCAGGCTGGAGGACAGTGGCCTGATCATAGCTTCATATCTCACTGCAGCCTCAAACTCCTGGCCTCGAGCCATCCTCCCACCTCAGCCTCCCAAGTAGCTGGGATTACAGGAGTCAGCCACAGAGCCCAGATAACAGTACTTTTTTTTTTCTTTTTTTTAGACGGAGTCTCTCTGTCACCCAGGCTGGAGGGCAGTGGCGTGATCTCAGCTCACTGCAACCTCGGTTTCCCAGGTACAAGGAATTCTCTGCCTCAGCCTCCTGAGAACCTGAGATTACAGGCGCCCACCACCACGTCCGGCTAATTTTTTTTTTTTTTAATAGAACCAGGGTTTCACCATCTTGGCCAGGCTAGTCTTGAACTCCTGACCTCTTGATCCACCCACCTCGGCCCCCCAAAGTGCTGGGATTACAGGTGTGAGCCACCGCACCCAGTCAACACCAATTTTAAGGTAAGGACAGTGAGGCCAATAAAGACCACAAGATCAGTAGTAGGCAAAGCTGGGACTCAGATCCAGGTCTAACCCACTACAAAGCCTCAGCCATTTTCAATATACTTCAGCATCTGCTAGAAGGTTAAGTGAGTCCTGCAACACCCCCATTATTGAAAAAAAGTCACTTTTTCTAATTTTCTGGCTGTTAAGTAGTTAAGCAGAAACTTTATAGCCAAAGGATGAAAACTGTTCCAAGATCACATACCTGTGGTGGAGTCAATGGTAAAAAGGGACGACACGTTTCCTGGAATAAGCTCATAAGCCACTGTCCCATATATCCCAGAGTCCTGGTCAGTGGCAAGAACATTGATGATCTCGGTGCCTGGCTGGGTCTCATCACTGATGCTCGTCACATAGGTTGATGGGTTAAACACAGGATGATTATCATTCACGTCCTCCAGGTCCACACGAACAAAGGCTTGGGCACTTAGCCCACCCTGGTGGATGAATGAGTGGTGATTACAAATGGGTTTTTGCTGAACACTAGGATGTAGAATAATTGACAATGGCCCTACAATAGTCTTGAAACAACAGAATTTGAATATGTGGGGGTTTGTATATGTATATGTGTGTATACACATATACACACACCCCCATACATACACATTTTGTCATTTCAAAAGAGTGTGTATATATACACACACACACAGACACACACACACACAAACACGTCTTTATATTCATTTTATTTTCAACTTTGATGTATGAATTCATAGGTAACAGCATGGTATGTACACTTCACTGCTGATTCTTAAGCATGGAATGAGATTTCCACTTAGAGCAGCTGTGAGGCAAAAATTTCAGAGTAGAGGCCAAATACATTCAAGGAAATTTGTCCTGATGTCCAAAAAGAAATCAAAATCACTTTTATCCCTAAGATAATTTTTAAGTGAATGCTGGTAAGTGCTAAGAAGAAGGTGTGAGGGAGCATGGGCAGGGGGGTGCCCTGGTGAAGCCTTCACTAGGAAGGTACCATTGGTGTGCAGACCAACCCACATGAGGCAGCTAGACTTCAGTTACCAGAAAGGAAAGAATAACAGGCAGAGGAAAGAGCAGAGCCAAAGGCCCTAAGGCAGGAACGTGGTGTACCTCTCAGGCCTGCTCAGCCGCAGCAAGGAAGCAGGAAGGGCTGAGCTCAGAGAGGCAGGAGTGAGTCCTAGGGACCTCTGCAGGTCTCTGGAAGGACATGGTTCTTCCTCACAGGAGGGCTTTGAGCACAAGAGTGGCCTGATTTCACTGAGATGTTAACACTGCTCTAGCTGCAGTGTTCAGAACAGACCGAAGAGCAGCAGGGTGGAAGGAGGGAGAACGGGCAGGAGGAGGCTCTTTGAATCAAGTCCAGAGTGGATGGGGCCTGAAGGAGGACAGGAGCAGTGCAGGTACTCATCCCAGATCCTGGGGGCCAGATTTGTTTGGGAATTCTGAATTTTTCAAGTTTTAGAAGGGAATGCAGCACCTAAAGTAGTGAGAAGTGGATCCCATACTGCTTTTTTGGTGTTGCCTCCATCTAAAATCAAGGAGAAAGAGAGCAAATGAAATAGAAGAAAATAATCCTCTGCAATTTTTACTTTTCTAAAGTAAAACACATGTTCCCACTTTAAAGCACCATTTTCTGTTTCTATCTGGTACATTTTGACACTTTCATCTTTGACAAAAATCCTTGGTAAGTCACAACAGCCTGGGTTTTCTCACTCATGTATCCTCCCCCTCTTCATCTTTTTTGTTTCCTTTTTCTACTCTGGCAGGGAGGCACAGAGCAAGGAGGAAAAATGACAAGGAGGAAGAAGATTTGGCAAGGGACAGAGGGAGAACTGCTGCCATGCAGAGAGGAAGCACTTGTTGACAGGGAGAGAGGGAGGGCAAGAATGAAGATTGTATGGGAGGAAGGTAAGACAAACCCAGAAACGGCTGTCCTGCTCTGAGCTCTGAGCTCTGAGGTCCCTTGTACTCCAGGCTTTGAGGACTAAAAAATGATGGGGAAATAATTTAGAAATAGTCTGATTTTCCATGTTCTGAGTTGAATAAAGTGCCAGAGCCATGCCGGGTATCAATTAGAATAGGAGAAATGGGGCTGGTTATGATTCCACAAAGAACAATGCAAGTTCATCTATCTGGCCTTTATGCTTAAAATGCAGGGTCGCCCTACATCTGCAGCCACCCTAAGTAACCTGTATGTCTCCAGGTTCGACGTAGTAAGAGGGGACTGCACACTGGTGATAAGCTTATAGAAAATATTCCTTCACCTCTGCCACAGACCCTGCTGCTGCTCGAAACTGCCTTTCTTCTCAGTTTTGCTTTCCCTTTTCCTTTCCCCTTCCTCTTTCTTTTTTATTTCTCCTCAAATTCAAGAGGTCACTTAGGGTTGAGGTAAGAGAAGTAATGAAAAAGTGGGGAAAATATGAAGAAATGAATATTGCCCCAGCTTAAGATATTTAAGAACAAAGATCCTAAATCAGGCAGTGCTGTAAAAAATAAGCAAATGTTAGATGCACAAAGTGGAAAACGTATAATACTTTTTTTTTTTTTTTTGAGATGGAGTTTCTCTGTTGTTGCCCAGGCTGAAGTGCAATGGCACGATCTTGGCTCACCGCAACCTGCGCCTCCCGGGTTCAAGTGATTCTCCTACCTCAGCCTCCCGAATAGCTGGGATTACAGGCACACACCACCACACCCGGCTAATTTTGTATTTTTGGTAGAGATGGTCGACTGGTCTCGAACTCCTGACCTCAGGTGATCCACCCACCTTGGCCTCCCAAAGTTCTGGGATTACAGGCATGAGCCACCATGCCTGGCCAACAATACATTTTTGTTGCCGGTAGGGTAAGCACACTAGTGGGGCTAGAGAGGGCTGGGCATTTAGTGACAGAGGCTGGGCAGAATCCAGAGGACAGGCTTGGCAGTCAGATTCCTCTCACCTGATTTAAGTGCTAAAGAGGACAGATTTATTCTACTCCATCAGTATAAAATGTGGTGTGTACATTCTTAATATATATTTTTTATCTGTTAATAAACTGTATATACATTTACTGTGCTAATGTATTACTTATATTACAAATATCAGAAAACTAAAATGTAAAAGGACAGAATTCTAATGTTGTCTTCTTAAACACCCACATGGGACAACTATTGCTATCCTCAATGAAATGACAAGATCAAATCTAGATTTTAGAAAGAGGTATCTGGGATAGGGAAGAAGAGATGCATCTTTACAAAAAAGGTAGAGAACTTCCTCAGACAAAAAGGGGGGAAAATGCTGAATTCACCAAGTTAAGTGGATGCATTCTATGCCTCAGAACTTCTCACAGAGCCTTTTGCACATACATTTCTAGAGGGAGTGAGTTCTGAGGTGTTCCCCACTCTTTTTAGGCCCCAGAATGCTCTTTGAAAGAAACATATTGGGAAACCAGTTTCCCACAGAACACAGTGCGGGAATAGCTGATCTAAACTAATTTTCTCCATCCACTTAGAGTGTGCACTTCCCAATGCTGTGTAGCTAAACTTTTGTCCAGCTCATGGAAACTGTTTCGATAATGCAACCTCATGAGAGACTGAGTCAGAGCCACCCAGCAAAGCCACTTGCAGGTTCCTGGCCCTTAAAAACTATATAAGATAATGAATGTTTGCTATTTTAAGCTGCTAGATTCAGGAATAATTTGTTATACAGCAATAGGTAGCTAATACATCCCATAAATTCCATGCATGAGTATGTCTTAATTTTGTCTTATCATTTCTTTTTCCACTGATGATTCATGTGGCATTTTTATTTCATTTTCAGCATTTAATTGTGAGGATTATGGTAGGAAACCCAATTTCTTCAAGTTATACTATAAAAGATGAAAGTTGTTTGGGAAAGCTCCAAGCTTGAAAACATATAATATTGGAGGCAGGAGGGTCGCCTAGGGCAATCAGCAGGTAGGGAACATTTTCTACCGTTACTTCTACTTTGGTAATTGTCTGCTTTCCATTCTCTTTGTTCTTGCCTTCTGGGACTCCTGAATAGTAGAATATTAATAACATCTCTCCTTCACATCTCTCAGCTCTTGTGAGCTGTGGTTTCATTCCAGTGAGCTTTCTATGTCAATGAACTCCAGTCTATATTTCATGATTCAATAAACAAAGGTGGAAGGAAATGAGGTTCCAGCTTCTTAAAGGGGAAAAAAAAGAAACATAAGTTGTGACATCACCAAATCCAAGAGAAGCAGCATCTAAAGAATATTTTCAAATTCATTGAGAGGATGAATCAGATAAAAATAAATAAAGAATCCCAGGTTATGGCACGACAGTAACCATGTAGAGAAAAGCAGTCTTATAGAAGAGGTAGAGAGGGAAAAATAGATCAAATAAAGATTGAAAAGTGAGGAAATGGAGACCACTATTTTAGGAGACTTGCTGTGAAGAAAGAAGAAGAATAAAATGGTTTTCTGAAAAGGTACATGACATCAAAAGGAATCCAGAGTATTTTTTAAGATAGAGACTATTATTATGCCCTGTATGCTTATGAGGGTCATCCAAAAGAGCTTGATAAATTAATGATGCAGGAAAAAAGAGAAAATCATTATAGAAATGTTATCTGTAAGAAGGCTGGAATGGATGGGACCCTAAACAGTAGAGAGATTTGCTTTTGATGCAAGCAGGGACATCTCTAAAAAGATAATAGAAAAGAAAGCAAAGAATGTGAGCTGATACGCAGGTAGGTTAGTGGATTTGGTGGTAGGAAGGTAAGACCTTTCTCTCTCAAGCAGACCTGTTATTTTTCTCCAAGTACTTCAGCTGCTGAGATGGCAGTGCAGAAAATGCAGCGTCAGATTTACGTAGGGCTGGGGTTTTACCAGGAGAGTTCTATTGAATGGGAAAACTAAAGGGAGTTTGCAACTGAGTGACTTTAGTGATGGGTAACAAATCAATGATCTTAACATGGGAGAAGAATTATTGATTAAAGTGGACGTGCTACAGTAAATTAGACAGAAAGATAAAAATGTTTATCAGGAACAGCATGCTTGAAGCCAAGATATCAAAGCTGTGCAATTACTGGTGACAATCCTTGGAAATGAGAAAGTCAAGGAACTGAGAGGCTCAGGGTGCTGGGTTGTTCAGCAAATGATAGTAAAGTCTCCCAGAATGATGAGGAAACTGGTGAAGAGGAAGACTGTGAACAAAGTGTGAAAGTCCTAAGTGATAAGGAGGTTTAAGTCATGACAGGAAAAAAAAAAAAGAGGAGAAGTATCTATGGTATAGTCAGACAACAAGAACTTCAAAAGGGATTCGTTTTTGATGGAGAAAGGAGTAGAAATTATTTGGATGCTGCCCTGGGCAACAAGCAGGGCACCCAACTCACTTCCTGTCAGCTTGTGATTGGTGGACTATGGGCTTCCTTGTGAGAGTGCAGAAAGGAACGGGTATCCTTGTGGGGTAGGTTGTTTTAATCAGGGCCGAAAGTTAAAGAAACAATCAGAGACCAGCTTAAGTTCATAAAGGAGTTTGCTAAATAATGGACCACGAGTTCCAAAGGGCATGGTAGAAGCATTTCGAAGGGCAGAGAAGGCAGGTAGGTGTATTAGTCCATTCTCACATTGCTATAAAAAAAGAAACCTGAGACTGATTAATTTATAAGAAAAGAGGTTTAATTGGCTCATGGCTCTGCAGGTGAACAGGAAGCATAGCAGCTTCAGCTTCTGGGAAGGCCTCAGGAAGCTTCCAATCATGGCAGAAGGCAAAGGGGGAGCAAGACATCTTAAGTGGTAGGAGCAGGAGCAAGAGAGAAGGCGGAGGCAGAGGGGTGTTGCTACACACTTTTAAATAACCAGATCTCATGAGAACTCACTCACTATCAGGAGAACAGTACCGGAGGGGGATGGTGCTAAACTATTCATGAGAAATCCACCCTCATGATCCAAACACCTGCCACAAGGCCCTACCTCCAACGCTGGGGATTACAATTCGACATGAGATTTGATGGGACACAGATCCAAACCACATCAGTAAGAGATTGATTTAAACTAAGGGATGAACTGGGCAGGGTGGGGAGGAGAATATGGATAATAATAAATGGCTTGGATGCTTAAACTTTTAGAGATTAGAAGGAGGTAAAGGAGTATTGAAGATAATTTGGGATACATCCTGGTCATATATTAAAGAATGATGGGAAATCTAAGATATGGTCCAGGCAATTTAGTTAGAAAACACGGGACAATGGGGGGATGGGGCAACTGCTCATTCCTAGAACAGGTGGAGGGTGCTAATGAAGGAAACGAAAGACAGGAATAAGCATTTGAACATTTGTTAGAAAGTTAAAGAACATAATCTATTAAAATGAAAATGAATGTGCCTTTTTACTCAGCAAGTTTACTTTTTGGGAGTAACTGCATTGCACACAAACTATGAGCACAACTTCAGTAGCCAACTTTTCTCATGAATGTAAAGAACAGTGAAGAGCTCAGTCCGTTTACTTCCTTTCTTGCTCGTCTGACAAAATCCTCCCTTAAACCTTCAGTGGTGAGATGGAGTTGAAATAGCTTTATCTCAAACACATATGTCAGCTACAGAATCCAGGATGTAACAAAAAATAGAGATAGAGTGTTAATAAGCACATACACCAAAAAAAATCTATTTGGTAAAAATGAATGGGAAAAGGAAACAAAAAATTAGATATAAGCATGGAATAATTAAATTGTAGAGCTTTCTTGTGAAAAACCACTTGATTGCCAATGTAATTCAATTGTTTGGTTACATTATGTAATTTTATAGCATTCTCATGACTTATGAGATAAATAGCAGCAGCAGTAGCAGCAGCAGCAAAAATAGAGTATTTCAGAAGTAATATCAGTAGAGTAGAAGTGACTCAGTTGAAAAAATATTGACAGTCTTCACAAGGATAAATAGAGCAGTAGCAACGAACATCAATGTATTTTACAAGAAAAATTCTTCTACTGGCAGATAAAAATCTCTTAGTAACCACCAGCAAATGGGTTCTCAGCAATTTTCTTCTAAAGGGCTTTCAGGACATTTATTACAAAGAGAAGGAATCAGAGGAAAAACCAGAGATTGTCAAGGTAACAACATAAAGTTAAAGGACTTCTGTCAAGGTTCAGTTTATTGGTTTAAATAAACTCATTATGGCCTAGAATCCAACAACGTAAACCTAAAATGTCCTGTCTGCATTAATTTATTCTTTGAATGCAGTCTACGTTGCTTTCAGGGGAAGACTACTGAGTCATTACCAACTTTGTCATCTTTCTCTTTACCAACCTTTTTGACTATGCATTTCTGAGGGACATGTACTGCTAAATAATATTGCAAAGAATAATTATGATAGATGCAGAAGTCACCCTGTAAAAACTCAGTTCATCACAGAAGAAATTCATGAGGATTATGCAGTCAACAGAATAAATGCTGCACACTGGATAACCTTGTATTTGTATATATGTTTACATACATATATACATACTATATGTGTATACATACACATACACTCACATGAAAACACATATGTTGCTTGCTCTCCATATATTCTGAGGCAAACATAAGGAATGCTGGAGGCAGTTTTAGGTCCAGAGTGAAGGTTGGGGATTTGTTAAAAGCCTGTGATGTGGAGGCTCTTCTAGAATTTGTCTTTTAAAATGCATCCCTGGGCTTGTGCCAGGTCCCGTTTTCACATAAACCTACTTCAGGAGGGGTCCTGCTTCCAGGAGGGGCCCTGCTTCCAAGAGGGTTCCCTCCTGCACACAGCTCCCTGTCTGGATCTCCATTCAGCCTCATACCTGCAAGACGGGCAAGAGGGCAAGAAGGAGAAAATCACAGCCAAGATGGAGAAGGTGTGCAAGCACTCAGGGGAGAAGGAAAACTCGAAGCTCTGACAACCCATTTCCAGGCACCAGATGTTAAAAGACTCAGATTATAGAAACATCATGTTCCTTACCTTCACCAGGGCTAAATGTGTCATTCTCTGCTCATCCTGAAAACAATGAATTGATCCTTTTTGGAGGTGGATATTTTAATAGCAAAAAAAAAAAAAAAAAAAAAAACTTGCTTATATAACCACCTCTATATCTACAATACCAGAAAAGACACCTGGATTAAAGTCAAAATTCCCAATGCACTTCTGGAGCACTGTGCTTTCCAGGCTGTGGTGGTGCATTGATATGACAGACAGGTTATGAGCATTTGCAGGGGAGCTTGCTTCTCCTGATGGACAGCAGTTCTACGACTACAAGGATCTCTGTGTCCTGCATCTGGCCACCAAAACCTGGAAACTAGTTGAATCAACAGGGGCTTGTTTAGATCACAGTGGACAGCAGACAGTAGCCTGGAAGACACAGCTAATTCTTTTTGGTGGTTTTCATGAGAGTTGTGTTTTAAACCCATTATTCAATTCTAGGATGGCATTATACAATTGTCTCAAAATCTATCAAGAATATATTTTTAAGGCTTGGATTAATATTTGGGTGTGCATCTATTGGGCTTCAAATAATTACATATACTTGAATTAATATAAATTCTGTTTACTCCTATTTTTTGTTTCCTACATATTTTCTTACATAGAGTCAGGGATTCCTGAAACTACATAGTAAGGTATTGGCAAAAATCTAACCAAACAGATCATGAATATTTATTGAATATAAAGGGCTGTACTTCATGTTCATTTTTACATGTTTACTTGTAATATATTTAGACTCATTTTTTCCCCAAAATTCACAGCTTAAATAGGTGGATTCTCTCACTAATTTCAAAAGAGAATGATTAGACCAGAGAGGTGTTAGTAGGGTCTGTCTATACAAAAGAGTAGTAAGCAGATGAAAAAGAAACAAGGAAGGTCTTCAAAATGTATAAGTGAAAAATATAAGTAAAGTCTCCAAAATGAAATAAGTGAAAAAAAATCAAAGCGCAGAACGGTGTGTATAGTAGGCCACCTTTTCTGTAAACAATGTAAATTGAACACGTTGTTTCTAAACTGTATTTGGAAATGTAAATGGTCAAGAATAGTCAAGGTAATCTTAAGTTAGAACAAAGCTAAAAGAATGTATGATACCATGACCTATGATAAAGCTAAAATAGTTAAGAGAGATGTTGCTAGCACTAAGGTGGATAAATAGGTAAAAGTGAGAATAACCATTTCAGTAAGTGGTGCTGAGTTAATCATAGGGGAAAAAATAACAAAACTTCTTCCCACTAGATTGAAAAAAAGTAAGTATGAAAGGTAAAACAAAACAAAAGTTTTGGAAGAAAACAATAAGAGAACATCTTCATATCCCTAAGATAAGCAAATATTTCTTAAAAGAACACAAAAATCACTAGCTATAAAAGGAAGCAAACTGAGAAACTACTAAGCTCTATTATAATGAAGAACTTCTGTTCCTCAAAAGAAACCATTAAGAATAGAAAAGGCCAGCCACGGAATGGGAGAAAAATATATGCAGTAAATATATCGAAAAAAGGACTTTCAGGCCAAAAATATAAAGAACTCATGCACATCAGTAAGAAAAAGATCCAACAATAACAATGGAAAATGAATAAAGGATTTTCTTCTGTGAAGAATAGACACTTCACAAATTATACGAATAGCAATAAACATGAAAAAAAACCTCATTAGTTATTAAACAAATACAAAGTAAAACCCCAGTGTGATATATCATTACATAAGTACTATTATTTCTATAATAAAAAAGGCATTAAATATCAAACATTAGGGAGAATGTGTAGCAAATGAAATTTTCATACTTCACTGGTGGGAGCGCAATTCTACTCCTTTGTATATACTCAAGAGAAATGCTTACATTTGTTCACCATATTGCAAGTATAAGAATGTTAAAAGAAGCATAGCCTAAAATGGATACCACCAACTATAGAACAGGTTAAAATTATTGTATATTCACATAAAGGCATACTATAAGCCAATGAGAATGAGTGAACTATTGCTATACACAAC